>NW_021160024.1:0-153767 GCF_000001405.40 Homo sapiens
TGCCTATCTCAGCCTCCCAAAGTGCTGGGATTACAGGTGTGGGCCACCGCACCCCACCACCATTCATCTTAATATGTAAGATTACATAAAATGAACTGAGAAGGCTGAGCCCTTTAGAATTGACCTCATGCAACTCACGCAGATGTGTGGAACTAATGAAGAAATATGGGGTACACCAAAGAAGTCCAATTTATTTTAGCCTCACTCATTTTATAAGGCAAAAATTGTCACAGTTTTTCTAGAGGTCACCTAGGAAATCTAAAATATACTTATTTTTCCCTAAAAATCAGAAAACATTTACTTTTTGTAATTTAACATATAATTTCAGATGGACAAAAATTAAGTGTTATCAGAGGAGATTTGGTCACTATGATAAAGATAGGAATACAGGTGCAGAGAAGAAAATGGTGGCAATAATCCCAATAACAATACAATATTCTAAAATAAGCATAGAAAAAGATATCATAATTGTTAGAAAATGTATCCCTTTCATAATTAATTATGCTGTACAAATGTTTTTTCTTATTTTTCTTTCTAGCTTCATTGAAGTATGATTGATAAATAAAAATTTTACATATTTAAGTTATATAATATGATGTGATGTGTGTATACATTGTGAAATAATAGCCACAGTCAATTAACATTTTCATCAACTTACAAAGTTACACTTTCTCTGTGTGTGTCTATGTGTGCTTGTATGGAAATACGTAAGACCTACCCTGTTAGCAAAATTCAAGTATACAATACTTTCTTATCAGCTGTAGCTACTATGCTATATGTGTTAGATATCCAGAATTTATTCACCTTTTAACTAAAAGCATCTCCCCATTTTTCCTACCTTCTAATCCCTAACATCTAATGAGTTTAAATTTTTTAGATTTCACAGATAAGTGAGATTATGCAGTATATTTGTCTTTCTGTGTCTCGCTTATTTTACTTAGCATTAAGTTCTCTCAGTCCATCAATGTTATCACAGATTTTAGGATTTCCTTCTTTTCTCAGGATGAATAATATTCGATTGTATGTATATGCCACATTTTCTTTATCCACTAGTCTGTAATAAAGGCTATTATTCAAAATACACAAGAAACACTTCAAATTTCACAAGAAAGTAAACAATTCAGTTAAAAATGGGGAAACAATATAAATGGAGGAGCCACCAAAGGAAATATAAAAATGGCAAAAAAGTATTTGAAAATATATTCAACAGCATATGACTTTAGGGGGATAAAGCAATTCTATATATTGAAATTTCCTTTAACAAAGAAAGCAAATAGAAAACTTTCTCAGAAAAACAAAATTTAAGTGATTGTCAGCTGACCTGTCTTGCAAGAAATACTAAAGGAAGTTCTTCAAGGGGAGAGAAAATGATGCAAATGAGAAATTCAGATCCACAATAAAGAAATACATGAAAAAGAATAAATTAAAGTTAAAAACTTTTTTTATTCTTATTGATCCATAAGATAACTGTTCAGTAACAAAAAATGGGTAATTATAGAATGTGGATAGATGAAATGAACAATAGCAATGTCATAAGGTACAGGAGGTACAATCTAGTAGTATTTTTATGAGATACCTACACTACATGTGAAGTAACAATTTTATTTGAAGATAGACCTAAACTGTATATAATCAATTCTAATTAATTTAAAGATAGACTTAAAATGCATATAATCAATTCTAAAAAAACCACCACAAGTTTTTAAAAGAAGTGATGAGATCACATCTCATGAGGTGATGAGATACACCAAGAGCTGAGACAAAAATGCAATCATAGAAGATGCTCAATTAAAATAAGAGGAGGCAGGCCAGGCACAGTGGCTCATGCCAGTAATCCCAGCACTTTGGGATGACAAGGTGGGTGGACCACCTGAGGCCAGCCTGACCAACATGATGAAACACCGTCTCTATTAAAAATATCAAAGTTAGCTGGGTGTTGTGGCACACATCTGTAATCCCAGCTACTCTGGGCTGAGGTGGGAGGATCACTTTAACCTGGGATGTGGAGGTTGCAGTGTGCCAAGACCACCACTGCACTCCAGCCTGGGTGACAGAGTGAGGCTCTATCTCAAAATAAAATAAAATGAAATAAAAATAAATGAATATAATTAATGTTTATATTCTACTTCAACAAAAGTAGAATACACATTCTTCTCTAGTTTGTACAAGACAGACTGCATTATGGGCCATAAACGTCTTAAAATTTTTCAAAGAATAAAGTTCATACAAAGTACACACTCAGACCACAATAAAAATTAAAGTAGAAATAAATAACAGGAAGAACTGAAAAATTTTTCAAATATTTGAAGACTTAACAAAACATCTAAGTGCATCCCAAAAGAAGACTAAAGAGTAATTAAAATATTTGGAATTAAATGGAAATGGAATCACAACTTACTAAAATATATGAGATACAGTAGAACTAGTACCTAAATTTATAGCATTAAATATATATTATTATGAAAAAAGAGATAAAATCAATAACTTAAGCTTCTGCCTTAAGAAACTAGAAAAAGAAAATCCAAAGTAAGTAACAAGGGAAAAAATATATAAAGTATAGCAGATATCAGTAAAATAGAAAACAGGAAAACAATAGAGAAAATCAATGAAATAGAAAGCTGTTTCTTTGAAAAGATCCATAAACTTGCTAACATTTAGACAAAGTAACAAAGAAAAAAAGAGAGAATGCACAACTTACAAATATTGGAAGTGAAAGAGGGGTATGGGTTATGACTACTGATTTTGTGGACATTAAAAGGATAATATATTTACTATATTAAAAACTCTATACTCACAAGTTCAATAACCTATATAAAATGGACAAATACCTTGAAAGACACAATATGCCAATACTCACAAAAGAAAAAATAGATAACATGAGTACTTTTATATCTATAAAAGGAATTAAATAAATAGTTAATAACCCCCCCCCCAACAATGGTTCCAGGCCCAAATGGCTTTAGTGGTGAATTCTATCAAGCATTTAAAGGAGAAATTATACCCATTTTCCACAGACTTTTCAAGAAAATGGAATTAGAGATAACACTTCCTAACTTATTCTATGAGGTAAATATTACCCTTACTAAATCCTATAGACATAACATGAAATAAAATCAATATATCAATATCTCTCATAAACAAAGATCCAATAATCCTTCACAAAATACTAGACAATTGAATCTAACTATGTATTTATTCTAGGTAAGACTGTATGCAAGACTGATTCAATATTAGAAAATTATCTGCAGAATTTCCTAAATCTGCAGGAAGAAAAATCATGTGACTGTATCAACTGATGTAGAAAAAGCTTATGGCAAAATCTATCACCCATCTATAATTTGAGAAACTCTCAGAAAACTAGGAATTGAGGTGAATTTTCTTAACTTGACAAAGAACATCTACAAAACCCCTAAAACTATCATACTTAATGATGAGAAGTGGGATGCTTTTTCCCAAAAACCAGGAGCAAGAAGAATTTTTTTTGTTTTTTTTCTTTCACCACTTGCAAAATGAAACCACCACTTTGGAAGACAGATGGGCAATTTCTTATGCCCATAGTTGCTATACTATATGTAAAAAAAAAAAAAAAAGGTCTTACATATAATATAGCAATTGTGTTTTTTTTGTTTGTTTTGAGATAGAATCTTGCTCTGTCACCCAGGCTGGAGTGCAGTGGTGCAATAGAAGGATACTGCAACCTCCACCTCCTGGGTTCAAACAATTCTCCTGCCTCCGCCTCCAGAGTAGCTGGGACTACAGGCACCTACCACCATGCCCGGCTAATTTTTTTTTTTTGTCTTTTACTAGAGACAGTATAACTTGTTGATTTGGGAAATTTTACCATGTGGCCCAGGCTGGTGTCCAACTCCTGAGCTCAGGCAATGCAACCGCCTCAGCCTCCCAAAGTGCTAGGATTACAGGCGTGAGCCACCACGTCTGGCTGCAAATGTGTTTTTAGGTGTTTATCCACTTTATTTGAAAACTATGTCCACACCCAAACTGGCACATGAATATATATATAGCAGTTTGTTTATAATTCCTGAAACTGGAAGAAACCAAGAGGTCTCATAATTGATGACTGGAAAAAAAAAAAAAAACCACTGTGATACGTCATATAAGGGAATATTACTTCCTAAAAAAGTAAATGATCTGGCAAAAGATTCATTGAGGAGGTTTAATAAGTGAAGCCCGTGGGCGTTATTTGGACCAGTCAAAGTATTCTGTATGATACCACAACTGTGGAAACATGAGAGTATGCATTTGCGTTTGTTTTTTTTTTTGTTTTGTTTTGTTTTGTTTTTTGAGATGGAGTCTGCTCTGTCGCCCAGGCTGGAGTGCACTGGCACGATCTCGGCTCACTGCAAGCTCCGCAACCCAGGTTCACGCCATTCTCCCACCTCAGCCTCCCGAGTAGCTGGGACTACAGGTGCCTGCCACCACGCCCGGCTAATTTTGTTTTTGTATTTTTAGTAGAGACGGGGTTTCACCGTGTAGCCAGGATGGTCTCTGTCTCCTGACCTCGTGATCTGCCCGCCTTGGCCTCCCAAAGTGCTGGGATTACAGGTGTAAGCCACTGCACCCGGCCTGCATCTTTTAAAAAACAAAGAATCTCACAGCACAAAGAGTGTCACTTATATGTATGCAAATTTTAAAACAACAGCAACAACAACAACAAAGTAGGTGTTCTGGGGATCCTGGGATGGAATGCAGAATGTGATAAAAAATCTAAAGTACTACAAATGTATAAAGCCACTTCACTCTAGGGAGTGGGAAAAACGTGCTGACATAAACATCTTAGAAAATGGATGGGCCTTCCGTGGTGGCTCACACCTGTAATCTCAGCA
Organism: Homo sapiens; assembly: GCF_000001405.40. Classification (NCBI taxonomy): domain Eukaryota; kingdom Metazoa; phylum Chordata; class Mammalia; order Primates; family Hominidae; genus Homo; species Homo sapiens. The sequence continues at coordinate 4,845 of NW_021160024.1, forward strand.
CTTTAGGAGGCCAAGGTGGCGGATCACCTGAGGCTGGGAGTTTGAGATCAGCCTGGCCAAAATGGTGAAACCCCGTCTCTACTAAAAAGACAAAAATTATCTGGACATGATGGCAGGTGCCTGTAATCCCAGCTACGCAGGAGGCTGAGGCAGGAGAATCGCTTGAACCTGGGAGGTAGAAGTTGCAGTGAGCCGAGATCACGCCACTGCACTCCTGCCTCAGCCTGGGCAAGAAGAGCAAAACTCCATCTCAAAAAAAAAAAAAAAAAAAAAAAGAGAAAAGAAACAAAGAAAATGCATGAAGACTGAAAGGAAGAGAAACTGCAAACAACTCATGTGATCTGGTTGGTATAGCTGTTTCCTAAAGGAAATGGGATAGCGATTCTGATATTGATAGAGAATAAATGTATATTGGAACTAGACAGTTAAGCAAATGATGACAAATGACAGGAGCCTGCTTTCTCACTATTAAAGTGGGAGCTTACATGTAAGCAAGGGGAGAAGACCAGAATGATCATGTGATAAAAGAATTGAGTCTTAGACATCAGTATGAACTAACACTTACACACATTACATTTAGAAATATTTATAGTTATGTCTATACACAGCTTTGTATATGCACATTTATTTCTTTGCTTTGTAAGCTAAGACGGTCCAGAACCAATGATATCCCAGAAGAAATGAGCATATCTAACACTCAAGTCTTCAATTCTTGGGTTTTTGTTCATGACCCGGGATCCAGCAGTTGGGGCCTGGGGCTGGGCATTGTGTAGCCTCTGGGGTGGTGCTGAGCATCCATTTCCACTCTCCTGCAGCTGGGGACCCATCCCTTGACTTGGGCCCCCTGGAGGCAAGAACATGGTCACCCACTTTAATCACATGGTCCCTATCACATAACCAGAGGGCGCTGTGGGTTTTAACTCTTCAAGCTTGATGTGTAAAGAATTCCACATAGATATGATATAGTGACTAGAAGTCTTTTATTTATTTATTTTGAGAGAGAGAGTCTCTGTTGCCCAGGCTTGGAGTGTAGCGGCACAAACAATCAAACAATAACCAAAATCCAGAAGACTGAAAAAGTCAAATGCTGTCAAGGATGTGGAGCAACAGGACCTCTCATTCCTTGTTTGTGGCACAATCAATTTACTGTACCCACGATCTCCCGGGTCCAAGTGATCCTCCCACAATCAATCTCCCAAGTAGCTGGGGCCACAGGCATGCACCACCATGCCTGGCTGATTGGTTTTATTTTTATAGAGATGAAGTTTCCCTGTGTTGTCTAAGCTGGTCTCAAACTCCTGGGATCAAATGATCCTCCTATCTCGGTCTCCCAAAGTGCTGTAAGTACAGGCATGAGGTCCTGCACCCAGCCTGGAAGTCTTTATAGATAAGTTCAATTTAACTGTTTCTCCATCTGCTCTACTCAGCCAAGTTTACCTCTCAGTCCAAGGGGGAGAACTGCAGCTCAGCCCCATCCAGGATGGCTGCAGATTACCCAGCGCCACCGCCATACTCCAGATGCTGGTCAACGAGGAAGGGATCCTGAGGCCTGGCAGCTGGCGCTCTCAGCAACCTTGAAGCCCTCTAAATTGGATCCGCCATCCGTGCCTGTCAGAACAGTAGCCACTACCTGCACTTGGCACACAGGCAAATATGGCGAAGCAACCCCAAACTCTCCTCTTCCCCTCTGGGCCCAGGCAGCTCTGAACCTGCCACTCAGCCCCATACTGGCGACTGCACAGTCCCCAGAGTCTGCAAACCAGCGCTCAGGGTGCGAGCCAAGGAAGAGCAGGGCCTAGAGTGGGGGGGCGTGTGCCACACGGCGACCTTCAGGCCGTCGGGCCCAGCCCTGCAGCTTCTACCATGGGATCAGCTGCAGCTGGCATTTGAAGGTGGCAGCAGCGGTGGCAACACCAGAACCTGCCCACGCCACCAGCAGGCGAACCCCAGGGTCGGACACGGCCACTGCGCCTAAGTCAGGCAGTGGGACCTCAGTTGCAGGAGGGTGGGAACCTGCCGCAAAGCCTCATCGCTGCAGCTGTACAGGGCCCAGTGGTGGCGAGCCTGCGCTGCCAGCGCGAGCCGAGGAAGAGCAGAGCCCCGGGTGGAAGGGCGATGTACTCGGCAATGCTCAGTGGTCTGGGCCCAGCCCTGTAGCCTCTACCATGGGCTCAGCTGCAGCTGCCACCTGAACATGGCACGTGGCAGCAGAGGCTGCAACCCCGACCCTGCCAGCGCCACCAGCAGCGTGGATACTTGGGCCAGAAGCCTCCAGGGCGCCTAAGTCAGGGGTTGGGTCCTTGGCTGCAGGAGGGCGGGAACCGATGCTCAGCGCCACCCCAGAGGCTGCAGGATGCCCAGCTCCAGGGCCCAGCTCCTGGATCTCAGGTTGAAGAGGGGCCAGGGGCGGCTCTGTCAAGCAGGCCGTGTGGCAGGGGGTCCCCCACTTTCCGCTCCAGGGAGCCCCGCCAGCCCGACAGCGCCTCAGTGGCAGGTGCCACCTGCAGGTGGTGCTGGGCGAAGCGCAGCCAGGGCAGTTTCCCGCCTGGCGTGTCTCCCCAGTCTGCTGAGTTGCGCATGTGCTGTTTCCTAAGGGTTCTGCTCAGCTGCCTAAAGGTTCTGCTCAGCTGCCTAACGGTTCTGCTCAGCTGCCTAATGGTTTTGCGCAGCCCTTTTCTCCCAGGAGAGGCTGGAGTGTCCAAAAGCTTGGCCCGACTGAGATTTCTACTGGTGTCAGGGCGGGTGCGGGGACTGAAGAAGGGCGAGGGCGAGCGGCGGGGACTGGGGAAGGGCGAGTAGCGGGAGGTGCGGGCGCTCTCTAGCAGGTGGCTGCAGCCATGGAGAGGCTCTCTGCCGCCGCTGTCAAGGGCCAGACGGGCCTGGAGTGCCCGAGCCCCTTCAGTCAGCTGGTCTACACCAACAATGACTCTTACGTGATTCACCACGGGGATCTCAGGAAGATCCACAAAGCTGCCTCCCGGGGCCAAGCCTGGAAGCTGGAGAGGATGATGAAGAAAACGACAATGGACCTGAACATAAGAGATGCGAAGAAGAGGTACCAGACAGTGCCTGAGCCGGGGCTGCAGGAGGAGGAGGCGGCTGTGGGAGGATCGCCCCTTCAGAGTGGGGGCTAGGGGTCCTAGGGACGAGGGGAGCAGGTGGAGGAGTGGTGGGCAGCGGGGTGGCCGTCCCGGGCCCCGAGGTCTTGGCCTTGTTCCCGAGCAGGCCCTCCAGGCCTTGACAGGGCGGAGGGCCCAGGCCACCTTAAAATCAACCCCAAACTTTAGTTAGCTGCTTTCTCCTTCACTCCCATTTCCTCTCACAGAGCACTGTGTAGAGAATTTTAAAGTGATTTAACTTACAAAATTAAGTACATACAGGGTTTTACTTTTAATGTACAGGTTTTAGAAGATAATGTTAGATACATTATGAAATGGTGCGTAATGAAATAATTCCCATAATACATTAGCTTCTTGGCTAAAAGTTTTTTGGATAAAGTCCAGTATCCATTTCAATATCAATGAATGCCTATGTAAATATGTTCTTTGCTGAGGGACCTTAGAAGGTAACTTTGAGGTGGGAAGATGGTTTGTGTTTTCGAATTTAAGAAGACTCATTTTTCTCAAGATGCAAGCTCTTTATCAGTTTTACATAAACCAAATAAAGTTATCAACGTTTTAACATTTTTAAAATTACACACACTGTCTTTTACTATTGTGATGACATTTAAAAAATTTTGTAACAGAGTAGAAAAGTCTTGCCCTTCTAGATTTCAAACTGTGCTATTAATTTGCACAAAATGCGCCACGGCCAGGCAAGGTGGATCATACCTGTAATCCCAGCACTTTGGGAGGCCGAGGTGGGTGGATCACGAAGTCAGGAGATCGAGACTATCCTGGCTAACACAGTCTCTACTAAAAATGCAAAAAATTAGCCGGGTGTGGTGGTGGGCGCCTGTAGTCCCAGCTCCTCGGGAGGCTGAGGCAGGAGAATGGTGTGAACCTGGGAGGCGGAGCTTGGAGTGACCCGAGATCGCACCACTGCACTCCAGCCTGGGTGACAGAGCAAGACTCTGTCTCAAAATAATCATAATAAATAAATAAATAAAATTTGAAAAAAAAAAAAAAAAGGGCCAGGCGTGGTGGCTCATGCCTGTAGTCCCAGCACTTCGGGCGGCCGAAGCGGGTGGATCACCTGAGGTCAGGAGTTCAAGACTAGCCTGGCCAATATGGTGAAACCCCGACTCTACGAAAATACAAAAATTAACCAGGCACGAGGTCGGGAGCCTGTAATCCCATCTACTCGGGAGACTGAGGTGGGAGAATCCCTTGAAACTGGGAGGTGGAGGTTGCAGTGAGCTGAGATCCCATCACTGCATTCCAGCCTGGGCGACAGAGTGAGACTCTGTTTCAAAAATAAATAAACAAATCACAAATTCTTTGATAACAGCTGAAAAGACAGGTAAATGAATACACAGAATAGAAAATCCAGAAACACCCAAATATCTAAGAATTTAGAACTTTATACTAGTAGGGAAAGAATTAGTTTCATAAGCGAAATGCCTGCTTTTTGGAGAAAACTAGATTTTTATACCACAAAGTAAATTTCTGACGGAATATAGATTAAATTTTTTAATATACAAAATGATAAAAGCACCAGAAGAAAACATAAATGCCTATTTACACAGGTACATTTTTATGTTGACAACACCTCTCTAAGAAGCTCAGAAGCAAGCAGTCTGAAGGATAATTAAGCAAAGCAAAATTAAATTAACCTATAATGAGAAAAAATAAAAGGCAGCATACTTGTAAAATGTTTACTACACATGTATGTGTTTCTGTGTATACATATTAGATTTAAAAATCGTCATTTTATAGATAATTCACTTAAATCAACAAAAAATCCTCTAATTTAAAATTGAGCAATTTAAATTAGAGATCTAAATTGCAGATCTAAAAATAGTACTTTGCTTCTAATTTAAAATTGGGCAAAGTATTTTCTTAAGATCTGTAAGTGACCTATGCACACAGAAAACAATATTTAGTGTTCCTGGTTAGAGAAGGTATTTAAATTAAAAGAGGAATCAAATACTGTTTTCTATCTACAAAGTTTGTGAGGATGAAGAGCAGTGATATTTATACTGCTGTTTAAAGTTTAAGTTGCAGATAACTTTTCAAATAGACAATTTGGTGGTAAGTACCATATTATTAAGAAGAATCCATATAATGGCTTTTATAAATACATTTCAGTGAATTTACAGCATGGGATAATATGTGACCACTGAAGGTAGAAATATGTAGAGAAGTAGGTGACATTTGAAAGTGTATTTTGGTGTATCAAGTGAGGGTAAAGTTCAGTTTGATTATACATACACACAGACTACAGTCTTGTGTTATCTGAAATTGTGTATGAAATACGATAAAATTTGTTATTTGAGGGCATTTGTTTTAATTTAAATGTTTTTCCTTTTTATCATCTTTGATTTCCTCATTGAGCATGTACAATGCTATTAGAAAAAGTTTATTATTAATGGAATAATTTTTAGGAAGAGCAGGAATATAATTTTGCACCAATAAAAATAATTTCTCTCTTCCCATATTTTAGTTATTATTTTTTGTGGATTAGTATATTATGTGAACTTTTAGCATCTTCAAAAGACAATCTTTTTACCTGTGCTTGTTGATTTACATATACATCTTATTAGGCACATATTTTTATTATATATAGATTTATTACATATATGTCAATAATTATAGATTAATTAGTGTAGTTTTATTATTAAGAAAATAAAATAGAAAATATAAGTGATTTATAGCAGTTTTTTTAAGGTATTGAACTTCTCAACTGTATTTATCCTTTTAATCAATTTATCACATGTAAGCTGAATGCCTATTATGTAGAAGATACATTAACTCTCAAGATCCTTTCATCCTTAAAAATTTCACATTTACCTGCTCGGCCTTAGCAAAGTGAGAGGTTTAAAGTTGGAGTATTAGGACTGAATCTCAATTGAAGCTTTTCCTCTCATCTTTAAAACAAAAACTCTTCTGAAGTGAGAAACTAGTAAAAGATAACTACCAACCACGATTTTGGAAATTTATAACAGCTTTAAATAGTAATATTAATCATTAGAAATACCTAATTTACATGCAGTCTATAAATTTAAATATGAATTTACATACATTCTGTAAATCTAAATATGGAATAAAATGAGCCATACCTACTTGAATCCCAAGTTTTCTTTGGCTTGAAGTTTTAAAAATATTAAAGAAGTACTTTGTTATAACAGTTTGTTTTTATTTCAACTCTCCTTTTGTGTAGCACTCTTAAAAGCTAAAATTTCTTTAAGTGTTAATCCTATGATTAGGACTGCCATCATCCTGTTGTATATACCGTATTCCACTTCATGGAAGGCATCATGAGTTGTGTGATGCCTCCTTATTTATGTACCAATAAAAGATTGTTTAAATTTCTGCAAAATATACTTGTAATAAATAATGACTTATAAGTGGCATTTCAATGTCAGAGATGTTAAAATATGAGAAATAGAGTATCTTAGAATTATTAAAATACAGTTTTATCTCTAACCTTTAAAACATACCACAAAGTAGGCATAACTGTACCATTTAACTTAAAATGTTTTCTTTGTTAAGTAGTAGAAATAATTACAATATCTAACAATTACTGAGCTGTTACATGTGCTAGGAATTCTTTGAAATATATTGCACAGATTCTCATGAGGCATCACAGTGATGTCCTGTGAGAAAACTGCTGTATTCATCTTCACTTTATTGATGAGAAACTTGAGGCACAGAAAGGTTAGGTGATAGCTAGAAGGTGAAAGACTTTAAAGTAATATTCAAGCCCAAGTGAACTGAATCCAAAGGCCAAGCTCTTTCTATTCAAATAGGCCACTCTTTCACTAATGTAGTGAGTAATAAGAGTGAATGAATGTTGTTCTTTCTTCAGGAGAATATTAAATATTTGTTTTGAAGGCAGAGAAAGAGCATGGTATTTAATGTTGACAATTACATAAATCATTATATGCTTTGAGACAGTGGACTAAACTTTCCTAAAAAGTCCTCTCACTTTCGTAGGACTGCTCTACACTGGGCCTGCGCCAATGGCCGTGCAGAAGTAGTAACACTTCTGGTAGATAGAAAGTGCCAGCTTGACATCCTTGATGGCGAAAACAGGACAACTCTGATGAAGGTAAATGGTAGCCAGTTCTTTCAGCAGGAGATGGATTTGGTTTAAATACATAGAATAAAAATGAATGTATCTCATTGAAATATAGCTAGTTTGTGAAACCTGTGGAATATTTATTTATATTTCCTATAATTTATAATTTACTTCTTGCTTTAATACTGACAGGCTGTGCAATGCCAGAGGGAGGTTTGTGCAAATATTCTCATAGATTCTGGTGCTGATCCAAATATTGTAGATGTGTATGGCAACACAGCTGTTCATTATGCTCTTATAAGGTGAGAATTTGTCAGTGGTGGCAAAATTGCTGTCCTGTGGTGCAGACATCGAAGTGAAGAACAAGGTAGACGTTAACCAATGTTATTTTCAAAATATTTGAAATCCATTTGTTTTAACATTAACATATGTAAATTGTTTTATATTTGGAAGCTCAAACATTCTTATTTTCCTATGAAAATAGTTTGACCAAACTTAATTGTCTAGGATTTTGCTTTAAATATTAATATTTTTACAAGAACTATTAGTATGGTTTTTCTGTGCATTATGATAAATATTTGAGTTTGTTAAAGGTAAAATTTTTCAAATATTCTTTCCCACCCAAGTTTTTTTTTTCTTTCCAATTAGTATAAAACTACAGGAAAGTAAAATTTAGGAGACATGAAGAAATCTGGATTTCCTCTTAAAGGATTGAATCTGGTGTTTCTTGAGCCCATATGACTGTTTGGTATGCTATGAAGACATTCTAGCTTTACATAAAACATATGTTTCCAGTTTGCTACTGTGCCCACCTAGTTACATCACTTATTCAACTTACCTCTTTTGCCTCTGTAAATATTTCAGTTATCAATTCTTCTCTTGTAGTATATTTTGGTAAAGATTTCAAGTTATTGAAGACAGTTTATAGGTGTTTATAATATATAGTTTATATTTTACATTAATTCATTAATAATGGGGTTGTCTTCTAGAATTTAGAATATTTTTTAAATGATGATTTTTCTTCATATAAACCATAAATAATCATCTTCTATTAGAAGGCCTTTAAGCCTTTTTAGATTAATCATGTTTATATTTGAATGGGTTATGCAAATTGCAGAAAATATTATATCTTTCTCCACAGACTTGTCCCTTAAAATTCAAGTGATTTAGCGACTTCTATTTTGCTAATCCATATACGTGAGTTAGAACTTTCATTAATAAGCCATTTTATTCATACTTCTGATATTTTGCCAAAAAATAGTATCAATTACAATAGAAACCAGAATAAAAATGGATTATTGCATTTTAAGAAGTGGATATGCATTAGGATCCTAGGAGTATCATTATAATTGAGAATAAACTTTTATACTGAATTGCCTTTCTTTTTTTCTTTTTTTTTTTTTTTTTGAGACGGAGCCTCGCTCTGTCACCAGGCTGGAGTGCAGTGGTGTGATCTTGGCTTACTGAAACCTCTGCCTCCCTGGTTCAAGCGATTGTCCTGCCTCAGCCTCCTGAGTAGCTGGGACGCAGGCATGTGCCACCATGCCCAGCTAAATTTTTTGTATTTTTAGCAGAGATGGGGTTTCACCATGTTGACCAGGATGGTCTCGATCTCCTGACCTTTTGATCTGCCCACCTTGGCCTCCCAAAGTGCTGGGATTACAGGCATGAACCACCTTGCCTGGCCTTTTATACTGAATTTCTAATAACTGAGATAAAATCCTATTGTCTGGTAATAGGATAAACCTCATGGATGATTTAATAATAAGCAATCAAAGTTTATTTGAAGCCAATCTCTTTTAATTTAGAGCCACTTCCTTAGTGACCCATTTAGAGCAGGAGTGCCTGACATTGGCATCTGGAATCTTGGGATTATTGATAGAAGAGAATCAAGTAAGTTTGTATCACCCAGAGGAAACCTCCCTTTTTGGGGGGAAGCTTTCAAAACTGCATCCCTAAAATTCTAATTTGTCAAATGTTAATGTTTGCCACAAAAATATACTGTCAAATAAGGATTAGGTAAAGTTCAATTCATTTATTGAATAATGAACATTTAATTCACAGTTTTATAACTTTTCTTGAACATAGATAATGGTGGAATCTGTTGGGGTACAGTGCTTCTGGTAAGGTAATTATTCTTTGGAATATAGTTGAAGAAACATTGTTCCAGAGGTAATAATTTAGATTACTAATTTAATAAAAAACAAAGTATTTACTACTATGTCTTAGGGTTTAAGGATATAGAGGTAAAAGATACAGCCCTTGCCCTCAAGAAGCTCTTGGTTTAAATGGGAAACAATAAAATCATTACAATATAATGATTTTTGGAGATAACCAGAGTTAATGTGGTGACGCAGAGGCTGAATGTTTACAAGAGAAGGTGCAGTGCATGGGAAAGCACAGAAAAGTGAGAAAGAAGGGATTGCTATTGATTTACTTTCTATTGTTTATGTTCATAAGATATTATATAAGGTATTCAGTTCAGCTGAGAAATATGTAATTTCATGAATTATAAATTGTTTTTGCTGTTTTACAGACTGGCCACACACCGCTTTTACTGGTCATGAGGAAAAGAAGTGAGCAAATTGTGGAATTTTTACTGACAAAAAATGCAAATGCAAATGCAGTTGATAAGTTTAAATGGTATAGTAGTTTTTTTATTAAAAAACACTTGAGTAGTGTGCTAGAGTAATAACAATCAAGTCAGAAATATTAAATTAATAATATTTACTTAAAATTATTAGATTATACAGAAAAATACCAACACAAATTATCAGTTAGGAAGAAAAGCAATTATTTGGACTGGTCAACATAAAGAACAGTATATAATAGGATTTTCTTCTTTTATTGTATTGACTGATTCTTATTTGTAATCTGATGTTTTTGGTTGCATTATCTTCTATTAGCTAAAGTGGTTCTGTATTAGTTTTAAGAATTTTTAGTTTACTTTATAATTCAATATTGAATGATTAACACCTTTATAGTATTTTTCTAACTTCTGTTTTTCATGTGCTTTTAAAAAATGCAATATTTGCTGGGCATGGTAGCTGTCATCTGTTATCCCAGCACTTTGGGAGGCCAAGTGGGTAGATCAGCTGATGCCAGGAGTTTGAGACCAGCCTAGCCAACATGGTAAAACCCCATCTCTATGAAAAATATAAATATTAGCCAAGCATGGTGGCACATGCCTATAGTCCCAGCTACTCAGGACAATATTATTCCTAATATTGTTTTAAGTCTTCAGATTGCTCTCACTTGTCCGACTTCTAGCTAATTTTGAAGTACAAAATATTATATAAAACTAAGGAGAAAATAGATAATTCTTCACTTAAAACTTTGCCTCTTTTAGATTAGTGAACAGAACATATTTTCTTGCCCCTCAGTGGACTTTATGTTAGCCAATTCTACTATGGCATATCCCAGTGAGACATGAGTCTTTTTGCCCCTTCCTTTTAGCCTTGGTCGTGATTTACAAGGATAAACACTTGAGCACTCAAGATACTTAACGTTTGTTAATACATGTAAATGGTTAATTCTACACTGACAGGCACATATTAAATTGGTTCTGTTCCTAATAATGAAGTTATCTCTTTGTTATTTTAGCACAGCCCTCATGCTTGCCATGTGTCATGGATCATCAGAGATAGTTGGCATGGTTCTTCAGGAAAATGTTGACATCTGTGCTGAAGATACGTGTGGAATGATTGCAGAACGTTATGCTGTTGCTTGTGGATTTAATCCGTAAGTGTTTACATTTAAAGGCTAGGTGAGATTTTATAGTTTGTTTCAGGTAGTTTATGAATGACACTGAGTTAGTTCACTTCATCAGCCAGAAACCAGGCAAAAAGCTAGACTATTTAGAAGGAGTAATGGCTCCAGGATTCTTTATTTTAGGGCTTTAGGGACGCTAATGTTGTCTACTTGATTTGAAGTATGACCCCTATGCATGGGATAAACATAATGTCACGATTTTAGCTTTTCTAATTAGTTATTTGGGTCTCAAAATGTCCACTTTAAGCAGAAAACCTGATAGTGTCCCCAGGGGGCTGTCTTCCATACCTTCATTCTTGAATTTTTTAAAAGAATCTGACCCTAAGTCCAAGGAAGACATTCCTTCTGTGCAAGTCAGAAGGACTGGGAGGGGGTGGGGGAATGGCTATTCTCTTCATTTTGTTGTTTCCATTGATTCTGTTGCTGCATCTTTGCCATTGAAACTGCTCCTGCAGTCTGGTAATGATTGACCTTTGTGACCAGGATGCCCTTATTAACACAGATCCCTCAGTCTTCATGGTGTAGACTTTGAAGTTACTACATGTTTTTAAAGTTCATGTACATATTCTCAGCCATTGTTACCAAAGTATCAGCACCCCACTCTGGCAGCTAGAACTTTTAGCTTTAGCCACACAAATAGTGAGCAAATTGACCCTTCTCCTCACACTCAAAACCTGATGTGAAACCCACATCTTAACCTGGACATGGCCTAGACCTTCATGGTAACTTATCCTTTGAGTGACTTTTTCTATTTTCTCTACCCAATATTAGTTGTGGTAGTTTGAAACTGTAAGTCAGGTTGAAATATTGTTACAGGAAGAAATTAGAGATCCATTTTGTCTTTGTTAACAGATCTATATCCCTGGCCCTTTATATCCTGTGTAGCACCATTTTGTAGGTAGTGGAAGGTCTCACCTTATTCTGTAAAATCCCATGTCATCTTTCCCAAGTTGTAGTGGGTTCCAACTTGTGGTTGTCCCCTCAAGTGATTCTTTTTTCCTAAAAGTAAAAATCTCCCATGCTACTTACATCTCTACCTCGAGTTTTTAAAATATTTTCAAATGCTGCATCACCATGAAGCCATACAATAGACTTTATTAAATCTCAAGTAAGTTGGTTAGATTTAACAGAGCTAAGCCTCATCCATCACTGATCAGTCTTCACATATAAAAGTAAGGATTTGTGCTGGCTTCAGTGGTACATATAGTAAAATTGAAACAACGTTGAGAAGATCAGCATGGTCCCCACACAAGGATGACATAGAATCTGTAAAGTGTTGCATATTTCTTGCAGTCCCCAAAAGGACATTTTACTACTTTCTAACTAGCTCCAAGGAAATGGTGTGAGTCAAAGCAAAATGGGTGAAGCTCAGTATTGCAATTGTGATTTTCATACAAAAAATTATTTACGTAAGGTGATCTATGAAATGAGATGTGGTAACACATAGGATCTTGTGTGCAATATTTTGTTAGTAGGGATCTCAGAAATAAGAAAATACCAACTTGCATCTTCTTTGTGGAACTTACAGAAAATAAAGGTAGGGTTTTGTCTTCCACAGCAGCTGGAAATGAACATAGTGACTAAGCATCATTCTAACAAAGATTTGTTGGTTCAGAGTTTAAGGAGGTAGATAAAGAGTAGCAGTAGTCCAAGCCAGATGCTGACATCTATTATTTTCTGCCCTTGGTGTGACTGAGGAGCTCAGTAATAGAGTATAATTAGGTCATCTGATTTAATGATTTAATATATTTATAAATAAATTTCATTACAAAATATAAAATAGCTTAGATGCTCTGAATTACAAGCCACAAAGAACAGAAAATCTAATATCCAAAAGTAGGAATTAATAACAGAAAATTGCAATATTTGAATATTATAACCTATGAAGAAACACATTTGTGTTTTTTTCTTTGTAATTTAATTTTTGTAAAGACGTGGTCTCCCTATGTTGTCCACGCTGGTCTTGAACTTCTGGACTCAAGCAATCCTCCTGTCTCAGCATCCCAAAGTGCTTGCATCACAAGCATGAGCCACTGCACCAGGCCAATATATTGGGTTTTATTGGGAATTTTAAAATAGTTTCAGCAATAAGGTTGAAGAACAAATTATTTTTTTGCTTCACTTTTTATTTTAAGCATTTTAAAAATGTTATCTTGTTAAATCTTTATAATAACATAGTGAAATAAGGCCCTAAAATCCTCATTGTTAGAAGACATTGAGTCTAAGGAAGCAACTTGTTCAAGAAAAAATACCTGTTGGTAGCCATGCTAGGATTTATTCTGAGTTAAGGACATTTTCCATATGTCAAGCTACCTCTAGTTAATTTGCTGAGTTATACTGCCCTCACTTCATGAGTGTTTTATCTTACTTTCTTCTTTAATTAGAAGCTTAATAAGTTCATAGAGCTTACAAACTTAAAGTCTATGGAAAAAGTAATGTTCTGATGTTAGCTCTAATATTGTCTGAAATACTCTAAGAACTTAACAAATTTGGTAAATGTTTTTTATATCAATGTTAAAATAGTAATTTTATTTATTTCATTTTTATACATAGCATTGATCAACAACTTTTGGAATATAAACAAAAGATATCTAAAAATTCTCAAAATAGCAATCCAGGTAAGACCTCTGATAGTAAACTACACTTGGTGGTGCTACCATGAGATTATAGGAGTGTTGATCACAAAAGAGCTATTAAAAAAGCAACGTGTAAGTAGCATGTGTTTACATATATACCTATACGTAAGTGTTTTTATATATACAGAGCTTTGATTTAATTTTTTAGTTTATAATTCAGAATTCATTAAGAATTTAGTTGTAGGTGGTTTATAATCTCAAAAATATTATCTGAAAAAATATTTGTTTAATTGTGGTCCCTAATATCCTATATAATACTTTTGTATAAATAAGTAAAACAATTTTTAAGTTTATATATTGTATGTTTCCTTAACTGTCATAACAATTTATGCTTGTTATAAAATGTATAATCCTTGGTGTGATTGATGAGTTCAGTAATAGGGGTTTATCAGCTTATCCAATTTAATGAACTAATATATTTATAAATAAACTTCATTACAAATTATAAACTAGCTTAGATGCCTTGAATTACAAGCCACAAATAACAGTACATCTAATAATGAAAAGTAGGAATTAATAAGAGAAAACTGCAACATTTGAATATTATAACCTATAAAGGAACACAGTTAAACTGTTAAATAAACAAGTATTTATGTTTGTTTATTAAACATAAACAAACATATAAAGTGTTTATTTGTTAAATAAAAAAATAAATTATTTGTTTGTTTCTTTATTGTAGAGACATGGTCTCCTTATGTTGCCCAGGCTGGTCTTGAACTTCTGGGCTTTATGTAATTTTTACAATAAATGATTTGCATTTAGAAAATTAGAATTAATTACAGTTGAGTCTTGAGCAACATGAGAGTTAGGGTGCTGATCCCCCCATGCAGCTGAAAATCTGCTTTATATGAAAATCTGTTTCTTTTGACTCCTCCAAAACTCTACTAATTCTTGACCTGGAGCCTGAAAAAAGGTGAAAGCATAAGCAGTCAATTAACCCATAGTTTCTATTTTATATGTACTATATATTGTATTCTTAGAATAAAGTGAGTTGGAGAAAAGAAACTGTTATAAAGAGGAAGAAATATATTCACTATTTATTAGATGGAAGTGAATTGTTATACATAAAGGACTTCATTCTCATTGCCTTCATATTGAGTAGGCTGATAAGGCGGAGGCAGAGGAGAGATTTGTCTTGGTATCTTGCAGTGGCAAAGGAAAAGAAAAATCTGTCTATTAGTGGGCTCCTAGAGTGAAAACCCTTATTCAAAGATCAACTGTGTGGCATAGTGACTTGTGTCACTAAATATCTTTAGAATTTGGAACTCAATAATACTTTTCTTGCACCATAAATGAATGTCAATAAGAATTAACATAACTTAGCGAGGGTGCATCAGTACCAATAGGAGATTATTTTTCAAAGATACCTAATGAGTGCAGAAGTCAGAAAAGCAATTATTTGTTCAGAAGCACAGGTTATGTTACATAGTCTTGTACCAACAATTTCTCACTATTACCAACTTCATTCCCTCTAAGTTGAAACCAAATAAGATATATTTACTTCATTAGAACAAGATGTGTTGTTCTATCTGCTGGATAATTAGTGTGTTAATAGTAATTTTGTTACAACAAGTTACTCTCGTCCTACTAGCCAAAATATTATCATTATAAATATTCAACTAGCTCAACTCTAGGCTCAACAAATAATAATAAAAGTGGAAAAAATTTTCACAATAACAAAAGTGCTACTGTGATACCTAAATGTGACACAATACATTGTACAATATGAACTATATGAACACATCTTTAATTTATTACATATTTATCAAAGGACTTCTATAAGTTAGATTTTGCAAGTTGCAGGAGACCAAGATGGAATACACATAGTCTGGGTCTTTAAGGTGCTCATAATACATTAGAGCTGTCTCTATTGAATTTCTGCATTTTTCCAACAGAACTTCCTAACTATGTTTTTTATTTGTTTATCCACTTGTCCACTTAACAAATAACTGTCAGGTATCTTTAAGGTACTAAGCATCTTTCTTGTTATTATCATTGTCATTTTTTATTATTTACTACTTTATTAAGGTACTAAGAATTTTTCTTGTTATTATCGACTTTTTTTATTATTTACTACTTTATTTAGTGCTTACTCTGTGCCAGAACCCCTTCGGGAGCTTACAATTATCACTTATTATGTCATTACCATATTCAGTATGTGTCAGACATTTTATATCCAAAGTGAAGAATTAAAGCTTTAAAAAGTTTGGTAGTGTCCAGGAGCGGTGGCTCACTCCTGTAATCCTAGCACTTTGGAAGGCCAAGGTGGGTGGATTGCTTGAGCTCAGGAGTTTGGGACCACCCTGACTAACATGGTGAAATCCCATCTCTACTAAATACAAAAAATTAGCTGGGCCTGGGTGGCATGCATATGTAATCCCAGCTACATGGGAGGCTGAGGTAGAGAATTTCATGAACCCAGGAGGCGGAGGTTGCAGTGATCTGCTGAGATCGTGCCACTGCACTCTAGCCTGGGTGACAGAGCGAGGCTGTTGTCTCAAAAAAAAAAAAAAAAAAAGGAGAAAACAAAAGTTTGGTAGTATTTAAGGAAAGCAAGCTGAATGAGTAGAAGTTTTCCATGTAAAGAGTCAGAAGGATGATATTTAGCAGAAGGAAAATTTAACCTGACTGTGTGTTTGGCAGAAGGAACATGTGAAGGAACACCTGATGAGGCTGCACCCTTGGCGGAAAGAACACCTGACATGGCTGAAAGCTTGGTGGAAAGAACACCTGATGAACAGCATACAGTGAGTTCCTCTTCAGAGATTTTAGCCTGTAAAAATCCTTTAAAATTCAAGAGGGGGAAGATTAAGTACAACGAGTTCTGAGTTCCTCATCAAAGAGCAAATATGTCAGTATGTTCAGATTCTCTGTTCTTTGTTCTCCGTTTTAAAGTTTAACTTCCTCGTTCGTTATGCCTCCTTGCCCCTAGTTTCATTAAACAACCCCCTTCTAGCCTCTAACACCTGTTTTGTCTTTAGTCATTCTTAGTCACCTGCTCTGTCCTTAGTCATCCTTAGACACCTGCTCTGTAACTGTCTTTCCAGCTGAAACTACTCACCCTGCCACTCCAGCTCATACCCCTGCTCTCTTTGAAGTAGCCCATCTGAATTAGCTAAGAGTGTGCAGTCCAACCCTATCCAATAGGGAAAAGACACAACAGTAGGGACTAGCTGCGTTAGGAATAAGAACACTTTCCCTTCCCTTGTCCGGTGTGATCTTGCCATTGCTCCATCTGCAAGACCACTATTTCATAGAAGTAAATTTGCCTTGCTGTAAAAACTTGTTGCTGGAGTGCTGACTGTTCTTTGCGGCACTGAAAATTTATTTTCCACAAATTTGGGGGCCCACCCAGCATTCCCATTCTCCTCTGGGGGAGGGTCCAGTCCTCTCCCGTGAGGAGGCGCACCCCGCTGCCTCGTTGCAGTGGCCATAAAGGTAAGGAATCAAGACTCAACTGGTGCGATTAATAAACCTGGGCTCTCAGCAACGTGGAAAGAAACAGGCCAGCATCTTTGGGGAAAGGATCTTTACATGCCGTGGCGACCAGGTAACTGTGCACAGACCGAGGTAAGAAATGTCGCAAGGGTGACAAAGTATTTCCTTGGTGGTCGGGATATTCTGGAGGTTGAAAGTGTGTGTGAATGATCACAAGCACTACTGCTTGTGGTGCTGTTTGTGTTGATGATACTAAGCATTATTGCTGTGAGGAGTGAGTGGGTTCTACCTGCAGTTTTTTATTTGAATAAAAAACCTTTGAAGAGGAATTCAGTGTATCCTCATAGGGCTCAGGGCAGATCCTGCTGTGGGGTTTATACCATGATGCCAATGCTAAGAGGGACCTAAAATTCCTGGGAGGGAAGCAACCAGAGTGGATGAAGTGAAAGAAGGGTGCAAGGAGCCTCCAGCAGGTGGCGTTAAAGGATAGGGAAGAAATCTCTAGCATGTGGGATTGAGCCTAACCAGGACCTAACATGGGAAAAGCCCCAAGTAAGACAGGGCGCAAAAAAGAAGAGGATAGTAACAAATACATGTCCCCTGATAGTCCTCTGGGTCTCATGTTAAAATATTGGAAGGATAATGAGAGGACTAAACATAAGAAAAAGC
This sequence comes from Homo sapiens, assembly GCF_000001405.40. Lineage (NCBI taxonomy): Eukaryota > Metazoa > Chordata > Mammalia > Primates > Hominidae > Homo > Homo sapiens. Next base: position 22,541 of record NW_021160024.1, read on the forward strand.
ATTAGAGGATAAAATATTGCTGTTTCATTTGGACCCAAGGTCCCATTTTCAAACCCTCAATCTTCTGGCCAAAGTTTGGGTCGAATGAGGATGTCATGTGTCAACTTCTAATTCAATATGTTAATGATAAAAATCTGGTCTCTCAAGAAGAACTAGATTATGTTCTTTGTTTGAGACAGGGACCTGTCTTTATTCCCTTAAAGACAACTAGGGAAGAACCCGATCCAGCATCTCAAATTGAAAAGTCAGATGAGCGGACTCCCACACCTAAAGCCAGCACATGGGATCCCCTATACCATTTTGCCCTGCTCAGTGCCTCTGACCCTTCCCCTCGGGCAGCTGCTGCCACCCCAGATCCCACCCCAGATCCTTCTCCTGCTCAAGCTGTTCCTCCTCCTTACAACTCTAATTCTTGGGAGTTATCATCCCATGAGCCTGTCCCCTGTCAACCTAAATACCTCTCCCTAAAGGGGTTCCAGCATGAGGTACAGCAATGTAAAAAGGACATGCAGAACTTCCCTTTTCTCTCCACACCTAAGAAGTCAGCCCCAACTCTCTTCCCCTTAAAAGACATGCCAAAAGGAGGAGGAGCCATTGTATTTGTGAATGCTCCCTTAACCAGTTCAGAAGCCTGAAGTTTGAAAAAGGAAATTAAGCCACTGTTAGATGACCCTTATGAGGTGGCAAATCAGGTTGATCAATTCTTGGGACCTCAGTTATACACTTGGGTCGAGTTTATGTCCATCCTAGTCATCCTCTTTTCGGAGGAGGAAAGAAGCATGATCTGATCCGTAGGGCTGCTATGGCAGTTTGGGAATATGAACACCCTCCTTGTCAAAACGTTCCTACCACAGACCAAAAATTCCCTGCCCAAGATTCCCAGTGGGATAATAAAAACGCAGCTCACCAAGAAAACATGCAAGACATAAGGGAAATGATAATGAAAGAAACTAGGGAATCAGTACCCCAAAATCAAAATCTCTCTAAAGCATTTGATATACAATCCCCTGGGACAGGGAATGTTAAAGCTCCATTTTGTCACTAAAAGTTGTCCAGATATTTCTTTTTATTTTTTTTGAGATGGAGTCTCTCTCTGTCACCCAGGCTGGAGTGCAATGGTGCAATCTTGATTCACTGCAAGCTCCACCTCCCAGGTTCACTCCATTCTCCTGCCTTAGCCTCCTGAGTCGCTGGAACTACAGACGCCCACCACCACGCCCAGCAATTTTTTTGTATTTTTAGTAGAGACGGGGTTTCTCCATGTTAACCAGGATGGTCTCAATCTCCTGACCTCGTGATCCACCCACCTCGGCCTCTCAAAGTGCTGGGATTACAGGCATGAGCCGCTGCGCCTGGCCAACATTGTCCAGATATTTCAAAAAAGTTACAAAAATTAGAAGATTGGGAAAACTGACCTCAAGTGAACTTCTGAGAGAGACTCAAAACGTATCTGTAAAGAGAGACGAAGAAAAGCAAAAACAAAAGACAAAACTTAAGTTATTCACCTTCCAACAGATGGCTCCAAACCCATGTACCCCTAAACAAAGCTTCCAGTGGGCCAGAAACTATAAAGGTTCCAAACCCTCCTTTAAAGGACCCAAGCCTCCATTGGGAGGATCAAGGCTCTCGTCTACCAGGCCATCTAAATAGCATGGGGGAGTAAAATCAAAGAATCCCAGAACTGAGAGTGGGGAAGGGCAAGGTAGGCACTACAAATGTGGAAGAACAGGCCACTTCAAGAGAGAATGTCCCAAATTAGAAAATGAAAAAGAAGTCCTTCCACTCATGGCTTTTGAGGAAGAATAGTGGGGTCAGGGGTTCTGTCTCTTTTATCTTGAGTCCCACCAGGAGCCCTTGATAAGTCTAGAAGTGGGACCTAAGCATGAGTTTATAACCTTTTTAGTCAATTCAGGAGTGGCTCGATCCTCTGTTTGTTTCCCCCCCATCTAATATTGCCTACTCTTCAGAGGAACTTTTGGTTTGTGGGGTAAAGGGAGAAGGATTTAAAGCAAAAATTTTAGAAAACACAGAAGTCAGATACCAGGCTCAATCAGCTCATATTCAGTTTTTGTTAATCCCTGAAGCAGGGACTAATTTACTAGGGAGGGATTTAATGTTGAAGTTAGGCATAGGCCTGCAACTCAGCCCAAGAGGATTCCTCACTTCATTAAAGCTACTCACCACTGCAGATGAAAAATATATTAATCCTAATGTCTGATCCAAAGAAGGAAACTGAGGGAAACTCTGAGTCCCTCCAACCACATCAGGCTAAAAATCCCCAGGGAAGTAGTAAGGAAGAAACCATACCCCATTCCCCTAGAGGGCAGGATAGGGTTGAAACCTATAATTGAAGGTCTTATTAAAGATGGGCTTCTTGAGCCCTCTATGTCCCCTTATAACACCTCAATATTGCCAGTCAAGAAATCAGATGGGCCATACCGGCTGGTACAGGACCTTAGAGCTATTAACCGAATAGTCCAAACTACCCACCCCATTGTCCTCGATCCTTACACCATTCTCAGCAAGATTCCATATAATAATCAATGGTTTACTGTAATAGATTTCAAGGATGCTTTTTGGGCATGTCTCCTGGCTGAAGATAAGCAAGATATATTTACTTTTGAGTGGGAGGATCCCCATTCAGGGTAGAAACAACAATATCAATGGATAGTCTTACCCCAAGGGTTCACAGACTCCCCTAACCTTTTCAGTCAAATTTTAGAACAAGTATTAGAAAAAGTTATCATCCCAAACAAATATGCCTGCTCCAATATGTTGATGATATTCTTATATCTGGTGAAGATATAGAGAAGGTAGCTGGCTTCTCTACACATATTCTCAACCATCTGCAGTTCGAGGGGTTATGAGTCTCAAAGGGAAAGCTTCAGTATGTAGAACCTGAAATTAAATATTTAGACCAGTTGATAAGTGCAGAGAAGTGAAGAATAGGGCCTGAACGAGTTGAGGGAATCGTGTCCCTACCCTTGCCTCAAACTTAAACAAGAACTCAGGAAATTTTTAGGGTTAGTTGGATACTGCTGCTTATGGATTAACTCATATGCACTAAACAGTAAACTTCTATATCCAAAATTTGCCAAGGGGAAGACTGACCATTTCCTGTGGACGTCTGAGGAAGTCGATCAGGTTGAAGAGCAGATAAAAAGGCTTATAACAGCCTGTCTTAGCCTTACCTTCCCTAGGAAAGCCATTCCACCTTTTTGTCAACACGGATAATGGGGTAGCTTTAGGAGTGTCCACTTAAGAACATGGAGGTCATCGGCAGCCCATGGTGGCCTTCCTGTAAAAAGTCTTAGATCCAGTTACTTGTGGGTAGCCTCAATGCAGCCAATCCATTGTGGCTACAGCACTAATGGCCAAAGAAAGCAGGAAGTTAACCTTTGGAGGAAAATTGACAGTAAGAAAGCCCCATCAAGTTAGAACTATCTTAAACCAGAAAGCAGGGAGGTGGCTTACTGATTCAAGAGTCTTAAAGTATGGGACTATTCTGTTAGAAAAAGATGATTTAACATTAATCACTGATAATTCCTTTAACCCAGCAGTTTTTCTAATAGGGGATCCAAATCTAAAGAGATAGCACTCATGTTTAGACTTAACTGATTACCATACAAAGGTCTGACCAGACCTAGGAGAAACTCCCTTCAGGATGGGATGACACTTATTTATAGATGGTTCCTCCCAGGTGATTGAGGCAAAAAGATGCAATGGGTATTCAGTAATTGATGGAGAAACTCTTGAAGAAATTGAGGCAGGAAAATTGTCTAAGAATTGGACTGCCCAAACGTGTGAGCTATTTGCACTCAGCCAAGCCTTAAAGGACTTGCAGAACCAGGAAGGAGCCATCTATACCAATTCTAAGTACGTCTTTGGAGTGGCTCATACATTCGGAAAAATTTGGACTGAACGAGGTCTCATTAATAGTAAACGTCAAGATCTTGTTCATAAGGAGCTATTCACCCAAGGATTGAATAACCTTCAGTTGCCAGAAGAAAGAGTGACTGTCCATGTCCCCAGACACCAGAAAAGTCTTCCTTTTGACAGTCTAGGAAATAACCTAGCAGATTACATAGGAAAACAGGCTGCCATTTCTTTTAAAACATCTATTTTTCACTGAACTCTTTACCTTTTTCCTCCTAACATAATCTCCATTTTCTCTTCCACTGAAAAGAGAAACTAATAAAAATAGGTGCTAAGGAGAATTCAAAAGAAAAATGGATATTGCCAGACCAGAGGGAAAGGTTGTCCAAACCCCTTATGAGGGAAAACTTGTCCCAACTGCATCAAGGGACCCACTGGGGGCCCCAAGCCATGTGTGACACAGTTCTGAAAGTTTTTCGGTGTATAGGAATTTATACTCTGGCCAAACAGGTTACAGACAGTTGCTTAGTATGTAAGAAAACTAATAAACAAACTATAAAAAGATTACCCCTTGGGAGAAGGAGTCCAGACTTAAAGTATGCAGTTTGATTACACAGAGATGCCTCCAATAGGTCGTCTAAAATATTTACTAGTGACAGTAGATCACCTTACCCACTGGGTCAAAGCTATTCCCTTTTCAAATGTGATGGCCAATAATGTAGTTAAGGCCTTAATTGAAAATATAGTGCCCAGGTTTAGGCTAATAGAAAACATTGACTCAGAAAATGGAACCCATTTTGCCTCAAACTATTACATTTGATGCTTGCCTTGTTATACCTTGTGGAGCCTTGTCAGGCCACAGACAGCTCTCCACTTCCGAAAAGTACCTCTGTACTTCCTGGCTGTCCTCAGACTGGACATTAGTGAATTTGGATCATTTAGTCTGGGAAAGTTTCAATGAAGACCCCAGTGTCAACTGGGAGTCTTGCCCCCTTGACACAGAGCTTTTATGACTAGTTGGTCCAACTACGTGCAAGTGAGAGCAAGGATGGACTGCCCCAACCAGTAGTTGTAATTCCTAAAACCATACATTTATTTTACTAAAGATATAGCTCCCCTTAACTTTCAGGTAAACTAGTGCAACTCAATACAAGTTATTATTTCAAACCTACAAAGTTCTTCCCCTTCTCTAAGCCAATTCCCTTCTTTAAGCTGGTTTTATGTTATGGGGGCTGAGTTTTCAGAAACAGACCCTATTGGATCTTTGAAATATGCTTCATTGCTCCCCTACTGCCTACAGCTTCCCCTAAGTCTTCTTCCAAAAACTCTCACAATGAAACTGTTGTTCCTCCTCCATCTAATGACAAGATCAAAGTAGCTATTGTAGAAGTTAAAGACCTAAAACAATCTTTGGCAACTGAGACAGGATATCAAGATGCGAATGCCTGGTTGGAATGGATCAAATACTCCATTCGTGCTTTAAACAAAAGCAATTGTTATGCTTGTGTACACGGCAGACCAGAGGCCCAGATTGTCCCCTTTCCACTAGGATGGTCCTTCAGTCGACCAGGCATAGGCTGTATGGTAGCTCTTTTCCAGGGTTCCACAGCCTGGTGTAACAAGTCATGTCAATCTCTCTCTCTGCTATATCCCAAAGTTCAACACCCTGCAGGTCAGCCCCCAAGGGCCATCTAGCTTCCGTCTCCTGACACTAAGTTCACTTCATGTCTCTCACAATAAGGAGGAAACTTAGCTTTGCTTGGAGACCTAAAAGGATGCAGTAAGCTTAAGACTTTCCAAGAGCTTACCAATCAGTCAGCCCTTATACAATCCTGAGAAGATTTATGGTGGTATTGTGGTGGACCTTTACAGGACACTCTGCTAAGTAACTGGAGCAGCGCTCGTGCTGTAGTCCAGTTGGCTATACATTTCACTCTGGCATTTCATCAACCAGAAAAAGGGAAAACACAACATCGTAAAGCAAGGGAAGTCCTTTATGGGTCTTTTGACTCCCACATTTATTTAGATGCTATTGGAATCCCATGAGGAGTATGAGATACATTTAAGCCCAAGATCAAATAGCTACCGGATTTGAATTGATATTTTGGTGGGTGACAATAAAAATGTAGATTGGATAAATTACATCTATAATAATCAACAGTGGTTTATTAATTACACCAGGGATGTTGTCAAAGGAATAGCAGAACAATTGAGGCCCACTAGCCAGATGGCCTGGGAAAACAGAATGGCCCTAGATATGATATTAGCTGAAAAAGTGGTGTTTGTGTTATGAATAAAACTCAGTGTTGTACCTTTATCCATTGGGAGCAAACAACACTGCCCCCAGTGAGAGCATAACAAGGGCCCTACAAGGATTTACCACTTTATCCAAAAAATTAGCTAAAAATTCTGGAGTCAATAACCCTTTCTCAACGTGGCTAGAAAGGTGGTTCAGTAAATGGAAAGAAATCATAGCCTCAATTCTTACTTCTTTTACAGCAGTAATGGGTGTACTCATTCTTGTTGGGTGTTGTGTCATACCATGCATCCATGGGCAGTGCAAAGGCTTATATAAACAACACTTTCTAAAACCTCCCTTAGCTGTCCTCCACCTTATTCAGATAGGCTTTTCCTTTTAGAGGATCAAGTTGAAAAAAAAAAAGCCAAGACATGCTAAAAAGGTTTGAAGAGGAAGGGCTATAAAAATTGAAAGAGGCAATTGTAGAATACAGTGAATTACTCTTCAAAGGTTTTAGCCTGTTAACGTCCTTTAAAATTCAAGAGAGGGAAGATTGTTAAGTACACTGAGTTCTCAGTTCCTCTTCAAAGAGCCAATAAGTCAGTATGTTCAGCTTCTCTGTTCTTTGTTCTCCATTTAAAGTTTAACTTCCTCATTCTTTATGCCTCCTTGCCCCTAGTTTCAGTAAACGACCCCCTCCTAGTCCCTATCACCTACTCTGTCCTTAGTCATTCTTAGTCACTTGCTCTGTCCTTAGTCATCCTTAGTCACCTGCTCTGTAACCATCCTTCCTGAGGAAACTACCCACCCTGCCACTCTGGCTTGCACCCCTGTCCTCTTTGAAGTAGCCAGTCAAAATTAGCTTAGAGTGTGTGATCCAACCCTATCCAATAGGGGAAAGATACAGCAGTAGGGACTATCTGCATTAGGAATAAAAACCCTTTCCCCTCCCTTATCCAGTGTGCTCTTGCCATTGCTCCATCCGCAAGACTCACCCTTCTATAGAAGTAAATTTGCCTTGCTGGAGTGTTAACTTGTTGCTGGAGTGGTAACTCTTCTTTGTGGCACCAAAAAGTTATTTCCAACACGAAGCTGCACCCTTGGTGGAGGGAACATCTGACGAAGTTCAATGTTTGGGGAAAACAATATCTGGAAAGACTGAACAGTCAGCAAGAGAAACACCTAGGAAAATTACAAGGCCTGTGAAAGAAACGTCTGAGAAATTTGCATGGCCACAAGAAAGACCTACAAAGACCACATGGGAGGAAAAAGAAACATCTGTAAAGACTGAATGCGTGGCAGGAGTAACATCTAATAAAATTGAAGTTTTGGAAGAAGGAACAGCTAAGATGATCACATGTCCTACAAAGACAGCTACAAAAGCAAGTACAAATGGTCAGATGCTTGAGTGAACTTTGTAGAGTTTATTGGCACTTTGGGTTCCCTAGTGGAAATAGTGTGGTACAGGAGTAGTCAGGAATGGCTTGAATGTCTAGATAAGGCAAGCTTAGGCAACACATTTTAATAGTGTAGAAACGAGTAGATGTTATTCTGTAGGCCCTGGAAAAATTCCCAGAATACTTCTGGCTGTAAATATTAGATGAAAATAACTAACAATTGCTAAAACCATAGAAACCAAAGTTGTTTTGGTGGTACAGGGATATTATAAGTTCTCACTCCCCCTCCCCCATTATTAGTTATGCTATCAGCAGTGTTTTGTTCATGTCTCCTTTCTTGGTTGGGTAATTAGCAACAGCTCCAATCATCATGCTAACTCAAGACAATATCTGAAGTCTGGGAGTGCTGCTTTTGTTCACATTTTTTTTTTAAATAGGAAGAAAACTTGGAAGCTTGCAGTAATCTTCCTGTAACATTTTATTGGCTGGATTATACCACATGCTTATTTCTATACCAATCACTAGGAAAGCAAATGTTATTACTGTGATTAGCTTAGAATAATGATTTTTCTTTTAAGATTGGATGGGGGTAACGGAATAATAAATATCTAAATGAACTTGTGTTTCTGCAGCAATAAAGAATACATAATGACTATGCATAGGAAGCCAGCAATGTTTTCTGCAGGAACACAGTGGAAAAGTTTGAGCAGGGGAGTCACAAGATTAGATTTGAGTATCAGGGCATTCTGGTCATGGTATAAAGCAGAGATTGGCAAACTTTTCCTGTAAAGTGCCAGATAGCGAATATGTTGGGCCATGTGGTCTCTATTACAGCTATTCAACTCTGCCATTGTAGGGTGAAAGGAGTCATAGATAATGGATGGGCAAAGAGGCATGATTGTACTCCAATAAAAGTTTGTATAAAAAACCATTTAGTAAGCTGAATTTGGCCTGTGGCCTATAGTTTCTGGACCTTCATATAGAAGATAGATGGAGGATAATCACATAAAAAGATTTAAAGATGAAGCTTTTGTAGTAGTTCATGCAATAGTCTTTTTTTTTTTGTAACAAACCTGTGGCCTAGTATCAATCTATTATGAAAGTTTGATCCATCAAGTGTAAAATGAATCAAGTTCAGAAGCTCAATTTACACATTTAAACATGTAGGTCCTTCTTTGGCATTGTTTTATTTTGATTAACTTTTTTAACTTAAAAAATAAGAACAGTAATTTATAGGGTTTCTTTTTCCCTGTGAAAACCATCAGTTAAGGGGCCACGTTTAACTAGGAAATATGAATATAAAATAAATAAGTATGTATTTCCAGTGGCAATGGAAAGATAAAGCAAAGGCAGAAAAGAGGTGCAGTTAATATGGCTTAGTGATAATTGAGTTTAAAAAGCTAGGGGACAGATAAAATCTCAGGTCATTCATAAGTTTTCAGATTGTGCATAAGCATTTACAATGCTCATGGGGAAGGAGTAGGAATTTGTCAGGTTAACAGAGAAGTGCAAACAGTAATGGGACAGACCAACAGTTTTCTTTACATATTGAGTTCAATGAAACATTTATGTGGGATACTTTCAGTAGGCAATTGGATTATATACATTTCTAGCTGGAGATAGAACTCTGCTTGAAGATGCAGGCTTAGAATACTTTTATTATAATTATTAGGCAAAGCCATAGATCTCAATGAGCTTATCCATGAGGCAGAAGATGTAGAATAAAAAGAAAGCCATTGACACAACCCTGGGAATATCGACATTTCACAAGAGTCAAAGGACTTGGTAAAGGAGACTGAGCAGTGGTTAAAGAAACGTAGGAGAGGAGTCTGAGAAAGTGATGTTACAAATTTCTTTTAAATGTGAGAATTTCAAGCAGTAAACTTACTCAAAAATCTACTGGATTTAACTTACAAGTTCTTCAGTGGTAATCTGTTCAAAAGAATTATTTTAGAGTTGTTAGGTATACTTTTGATGTGGTTGATATTTCTGGTATCCAAGAAGAAATCTCCCAAGATCATACCTAACTTTTTGTAACTAAAGCAGCATACATACACAGGGAGTGGGAAAATGTCTAGACTGGTGAGTACACATGCCAACATTTTTCCAGAAATTTCTGCCTCCTTATTATACCACTTGAGTAAGGGGTTTAGAGATTTTAGACTATACTTGGGAATTTGTCTATTTCTTTTGCAGTTGTGTCAATTTTTCTATCATGTATTTTGAAGCATTTATGTTATTATGTACATAAATATTTAGGACTGTTATGTTTTCTTGATTAATTGAACCCTTTGTCACTATAAAATGACCTTGTATATTGCTGGTAATATTTTTGCTATGAAATGTACTTTGGTATTAATACAACCACTCTTCCTCAGCCTTCTTTTGTCAAGTGTTAGTGTGGTATATCTTGTTTCATCTTTTAACTAATTTTTGTCTTTATATTTAAAGTTTATTTCTTATATGCATTATACAGGTAAGACTTGCTTTTTTATCCATTCTGACAATCTGCCTTTGAGCAGAGGTTTTTAGACCAGTTTAATTTATAATGTAATTATTGATATGATTAGAGTTGTCTGTCATCACACTGTTTGATTTCTATTAGTCCCAGATCTTTGCTTTGCTTTTTTCCTTTTTCTGCTTCCTTCAGACTAGTTTAGTAATTTTTATGATTTAGTTATATATCTGTATATGCATAACTTTTTTAGTTATTAATCTAGTTTTACATTTCTTTATGATTTAGTCATATCTTTTTTGGTATAAGTTTATTTGGTATTAGGTATAACTCTTTGCTGTCTTAGTAGTTGCTTTGGGATTTATAGTGTATGAATTTACCTCATCACAATCCATCTTCAAGTAATATTATATCATATCATAGATGGTATAAGAAATTACAATCATATTTTCATTTCTTTTCTATCAGCCAGATCCCAGCCTAGATCTGTGGGATTATGGCTTTCATTAAGTTTAAAACATATTTAGCCAATTTTTTCTCAAATTTTTTATTCTGCCTCTCCTCCTACCTCTTTGCAGACTTATATATTACCTGCTGGAAGTTTGCTCTTAGTTCACTAGTGTCTCAAATTTGTGAATCTTTTATTTCATGATGGTGAATTAATCTATGCTCATATCTACTCAGTGCAGCTTTCATCTCCAGCATTGTAACTTGTATCTCTACAAGTGCAATTTGGTTTTTAAAAGTATCTTCTATTGCTTTACTTATCTTCTTGATTTTTATAGTAGAATAGAGTTGAGTTACTTATAAAGAGCTTGATCCTTTTCATTTTTCTTTTTATGGTATGAGCTAACTCCCCATACCTAAGGCAAGGCCTTTCTGAGCATTCATTTTCCTGTGAAGTCTGAGTTTTCCCAGGCAAATCTATAAAAATAGACGCTCTTTTTGGCACTGTGTGAGCACCAGGTGTGATTTCCTCTAATTTTATAGGCCACCCCCCACCCCCACCCCCACCCGGTTTGTTCTTAGGTAGTTTTCTAGCTCATATGCAATTTCCAAAATTTCGCTAAATACTGACAGGGAGTTTCTTGCCGTTGATTCTGTATCTCTCTCTCCTCCTCAGTGTTTGTTCTGTAATATCTGTCTGCTTTGGTTTTACCAGACTCTAAGCTTCATCAATGTAACCAAGAGAGTCTGGTAGATCCCACCTCAGTTTTTTCTTCCTGTGTCATGTCTCCGAATCTCTATCAAGGCAGGAAGCTGAAACATTCATAAGGTTTGCTTTCTTTCGTGTTTTTTTTTCTGTTTTTTAGGGATTATTATCTTCTTTGCCTAATGTCCAGTGTCTGAAAAATTATTTACTGTATTTTGTGTGTTTTGATTTTAGTTATTTTAGCTAAGAAGAAAAATCATACCTGTTGCTCTCCCTTGGCTAGAGGCAGACTACACTAGAGTTTCAGCACATGCCACAGACTGGCTAAAATGCTTTCCTTCCCTTTTGCTCAACTGCTTCCTTTTCATTCTTCATTCCTCAGTGTAGCTATACATTCCTCGGGGGAATTTTCCATGAGCCTAGTATAGATCTAATTCTTAGCAAACTGTTTTCTTACAGTATCTATCTGAATTTATAACTGTCACTTTTCTGGGGCTTCGTCTTTTAGCACATTTTAAGTTAAACAAAGGCAGAGGTTTTTGTTTTTTTCTGTTTAATCTGCAGAGCTTAGTATAATGCCTTCCACGAGGTAGGCAAACAATATATATTTGATCAGTGTATGAATTAGTGATTGTTAAAATATGCAGTTCTTTATATCCCAAAAGTACTTATATATTTTATTTCTATCTCCTCCTGGAGACAGATTCAACTAGCCTATCAAAATTCTTGGATGCAATTCTTTCTTGTGAAAGAGCAAGGGAAATTAAAAAATATCCCTGTGAGCCAGGCGCCGTGGCTCACGCCTGTAATCCCATCACTTTGGGAGGCCAAGGCGGGCAGATCATGAGATCAGGAGATCAAGACCATCCTTGCTAACACAGTGAAACCCCGTCTTTACAAAAAATACAAAAAAAAATTAGCCAGGCGTGGTGGCGGGTGCCTGTAGTCCCAGCTACTCAGGAGGCTAAGGCAGGAGAATGGCATGAACCCAGGAGGCGGAGCTTGCAGTGAGTGGAGAACACGCCATTGCACTCCAGCCTAGGCAACAGAGCGAGACTCCGTCAAAAAAAGAAAAAAAATCCCTGTGAACAACTTACAGCCAAAATGAAACAAATGAAAAAAAAGCTTCATATACTACAAAAGGAACTATCAGAACCAAAAGAAATAAAATCATAGAGAATCAAAAAGTTAAAAGAGAACAAGAGCTCTGCAGTGTGAGGTATGACATACTAGTATATAGGATATTTTTTGTACTAGCTGACTTACCTTCTGAGGTTTAACTGGAGAAAGAAATCTCTGTCTTGCAGAGTGTCAAATCCATTTAAATAATACAAGTTCTTAACTGTGAATACATCTCCTGATAATTAAATGCATATTTATTTAAATCACAATTTTAATGGCTACGTAGAAGGCCATTATTTGGAAACCCCATTATTTACTTAACATTAATTTTTTTTAATTTTTTTGTGTTATAATAAGTGCTGCAAGGCATAACTGCATGTAAATCCATTTCTACCATTCTTATTATTGACTTGGAATAAATTCTTCAATATAAAAATATTTGGTTAAATTATAGGAAGTTTTTAAGAAGTTCTTTGTTCATTACTTCTAAATTGTTCTCAAGAAAATTTATATTCATTTATAGTTCAACAAAGAGAGTGTGAAACAGCCATTCCTCTACCCCCAATAATCATTTTCCTTTAATTATACACTTGTAATCTTAATATGCATGGAGTATAAAGAAAAACATAGAGTAATTTATGACTAGTATATTCAACATCTCTCTCTCTCCTACATAAATAAAGTTAATTCAGAGTTCTATGTTAAAAATACTTATTTTTATTTTTTAATTAAATATTATATTCTGTCTTATTCTAAAAGAGATTTAAAATTTATTGATAAAATATAAAATAATCAACAAGATACATTTAAAGTATTACTAAAAAAAGAAACAAAAGATATATGGGATAACAGATATTAGATTCTTCAGCCTAGTCTCATATTATAATATTATAATTATTTTTAAGGATACTTGCCTTATTTTTTAAAGATGAATATTTATGTCTAATAAATATGTAAACTTGTTTATAAAAAGTAACATCATTTTAATTAGTTAACTCTAAATGATCTGTCCTCATTGAGGAGTAATTTTGACTGTTATATTTTTAAAATAATAATTTTCAACTTATAACTTTACTGGATAGCTTCCAGTATTCTTTTCCATAACAGTTGTTGAAGTTACTAGTAACAGAATCTTTCTAACTAGAAGATGTTCTTTTCTCACTATTTTTCAAGTATGTGTATCATTAGGAAGAGAGTTCAGTAATAAATTAAATAACTCAGAACTAGAAAGGAAAAATGTATTCAAGAATGTAGGAATTTTATTGGAATAATAAACCAACATAGGAAGAAGTAGATCTCAAAGTGAATTCTATTTTCTAACAAAATGAATTTTAAGATAAGTATATTTAATGGCAGATTGACTTTAAAACAAGAAGAAGAGAAGAGAAGAAGTGCCAATATATTAAATGAAAAAATTAGGGAAGAATTAGGAAAATTCAAAAAGCAGCAAAAGAAAAAGTTAGAAGTGAAGCAACTTGAACTCGCTCTCCGAATGTACAAAATATGGAATTGAAGACTGTAAGAAGTAATTTGAATCAGCTGAATCAATCGCTGGTAAAAATTTTATATTTCTAATTTTATTTCATCAATATTACTTTTAATATCACTTCGATTTAGTATATATTATTCAGAATTATGATAATGCCGCTATAATATTTAGGTACAAACTTTTGTATATTTCATTCATACGTTTTCATTTCTATTGGGTATGTACCTAGGAATGGAATTGCTGGGTCGTAAGGTACCTATGCATAACCTTTTCAGCAATCACCTCACAGTTTTCCAAAGTGTGCACTATTTTACTTTCCCACCGGCAATGTATGAAAGATCTAATTTCTCTACGGCCTCACCAGGCTGGAGTGCAGTGGTGCACTCTCAGCTCACTGCAAGCTCTGCCTCCCGGGTTCACGCCATCCTCCTGCCTCAGCCTCCCGAGTAGCTGGGACTACAGTCGCCTGCCACCACACCCGGCTAATTTTTTGTGTTTTTTACCATGTTTCACGGTAACATGGCTAAAGGGGTTTCACCATGTTAGCCAGGATGGTCTGGATCTCCTGAGCTCGTGATCCATCCACCTCAGCCTCCCAAGGTGCTGGGATTACAGGCGTGAGTCACCGCACCCAACCATTTGTCATTTTTCATTGTAGGTACACTAGTGAGTGTTAAGTGATATCTGCTTGTAGTTTTGATTTTGCATTTTCTTGATGACTTGTGATGTTAGGCTTTTCTTCATGCACTTATTGGACACTCTTATATCTTCTTCACAAAAATGTCTATTTAAATATTTTGCCTATTTTTATGATTTTTTTCTTTTTACTGTTGAGTTGTAAAAGTTATTTATGCATTTTGGATACAGATTTCTAATCAAATATATAAGTTGCAAAGATTTTCTCCACTTTTCTGGTTGTTGTTTTATTTTGTTTGTTACGTCCTTTGAAACACAAATGTTTCTAAATTTGATGAAGCCCAGTACATTTTCTTTTATCACTGTGCTTTTGGTGCCATATCTAAGAAACTATTGCCAAATCCAAAGCCATAAAGATTTATTGTTATTTTTTATTCTAAGAGTTTTATAGTTTTCCAATTCAGAAACATAAAATCAAATACTGCATGTTCTTACTTAAAAACGGGAAATACATAATGTGTAAATATGAACAAAGAGTGTAAAATGATAAGACACTGTAGACTCAGAAGGGTGAGAGGGTGGGAGGGGGAAGGGTGATGAGAAATTACTTAGTGGATACAGTGTACATTGTTCCAGTGATAAACACATTAAAAGCTCAGATTTCACTCCTACCCCATATACCCATGTAACAAAATTGCACTTGCACTCCTTAAATTTATACAATTTTAAAAAATGGTTTTAGAGTTTTGGTTCTGCGATTAATTTTGTAATGTTTTATTGTGGTAAAACCTATGTAATAAGCTTTGCCATTTTAAACATAAAATTCGGAGACATTAATTACATTCAGAATGTTGTGCAATCATCAAAACTATGTATTTCCAAAATTTTTTTTCACCCCAAACTGAAACTCTGTACTCATTAAGCAATAACTCCTCATTCTCCCTTTCCTCCCAAGTCCCTGGTAGGAATAAATTTTATGGTATGTTAATTAATTTAAGTGTAAAAAACTAAATGCAGCTGGTGGCTATCATACTGGACCTCACAGTTCTAACACCACCAGTATCAACCCCTGGACAGATATAATCATTTCTAAGCTGCCTTTGCATTTATTATTATTCTATTTATGGTAATCTGTAATCTATTCTCCCACAAAGCTGGACTATTCCTGTAAGAACATATCTTATACCATTTCATTCCCAGCTCTGAATCCTCCAGTGGTTACCTATCACAATTAACAAAGAAATCTAAGCTCTTTACTATGGTCTGTATTTATCTGCTCCTCAGAGTGTGCATTCTCCTTTCCTCCTCCCAGTGCCTGCAGCCTGACTGGTCTTTGTAGTGATCTTTGAGCTCATCAAGTGCTGTCTGTATTCAGACTCTGCACAGTGTCTCTTCTCTCTGCCCTCTAGACATTCGCTTAACTCACTCGGTCATACCATTCTGACCTGCTCAAGTGTCGTCTCCTCAAAAAGATTGTTCCAGAGCTCTCTATCTAAAGTAGCAGTCCTTGACACCCTGAATGTGATTACCCTACATTATTTTCTTTGTAGTATTATACTTTTTATTTACACAAGGTCTCACTCTGTCACCAAGGCTGGGGTGCAGTGGCACAATCATGGATCACTGCAGCCTCAAACTCTGGGGCTCAAGCAGACTTCCTGTCTCAGCCTCCCAAGTAGCTGGGAACACAGGTGAGCACCACCACACTTGGCTAATATACTTCTTCATAGCGCTTAGTACAGCCATCACTTTAGTGTGCAACTGTTTATGCATTTATGTTCTATCTCTGTCACTATACTGCAAGCTACATAAAGACAGACCTTTTCTCTCCAGTTCCCATAATACTACCCAGCATAAAATAGGCTATAAGCAAACATTTATTGAGTACATAAAAGAAGAATCTTATTCATGTCAAGGCTGTAATCTATGTTAGACTCAAAGAGATAGTTTCCTGACTACATAGAAGTGTTTCTTTATTGAAGCATGCCTTTTAAAAAAGTGTTGCACATGGTGGATAAACTTTTGTATGTGCTTCTGGATTCATTTTGCCAGTCTTTTATTGAGGATTTTCACATCAATGTTTATAAGGGCTATTGGCCTGAAATTTTCTTTATTTGTTGTGTCTCTGCCAGGTTTTGGTATCAGGATGACGCTGGCCTCATAAAATGAGTTAGGGAGGAGTCCCTCTTTTACCATTGTTTGGAATAGTTTCAGAAGGAATGGTACCAGCTCCTCTTTATATCTCCAGCATAATTCAGCCATGAATCCGTCTGGTCCCGGGCTTTTTTTGGTTGGTAAGCTATTCATTACTGACTCAATTTCAGAACTTTTTATAGGTCTATTCAGGGATTCTACTTCTTCCTGATTTTGTCGTGGGAGGGTGTATGTGCCAGGAATGTATCCATATTTTCTAGATTTTCAGGTTTATTTGCAGAGAGATGTTTATAGTATTCTCTGAGGGTAATTTGTATTTCTGTGGGATCAATAGTGATGCATCCTTTATCATTCTTTTTTTTTTTTTTTTGAGATGGAGTCTCACTCTGTCACCCAAGCTGGAGTGCAGTGGTGCTATCTCGGCTCACTGCATCTTCCACCTCTGGGGTTCAAGCAATTCTTCTGCCTCAGTCTCCCTAGTAGCTGGGTCTACAGGCACACACCACCACACCCAGCAAATTTTTGTATTTTTAGTAGAGATGGGGTTTCACCATATTGGCCAGGCTGGTCTTGAACTCCTGACTTCATGATCCACCTGCCTTCTCCTCCCAAAGTGCTGGGATTACAGGCATGAGCCACCACACCCAGCCCCTTTTATCATTTTTTATTATGTCTACTTGATTCTTCCCTTTTTTCTCTGTTAGTCTAGCTAGTGGTCCATTTATTTTGTTAATCTCCTGGATTCACTGATATTTTGAAGGGTTTTTCGTGTCTCTATCTCTTTCAGTTCTACTCTGATCATAGTTATTTCTTGTCTTCTGGTAGCTTCTGAATTTGTTTACTCTTCTCTAGGTTTTTTAATTGTGATATTAAGGGGTCGATTTTAGATCTTTCCAGCTTTCTGTTATTGGCATTTAGTGCTATAAATTTCCCTCTTAACACTACTTCAACTGTGTCTCAGAGATTCTGGTACGTTGTCTCTTTGTTCTCACTGGTTTCAAACAACTTTGTTATTTCTGCCTTAATTTCATTATTTACCCAGTAGTCATTCAGGGGCAGGTTGTTCAATTTCCATGTAATTGTGTGGTTTTGAGTGAGTTTCTTTTTTTTTTTTTTTTTTTTTTTTTTTTTTTTTTTTTTTTTTTTTTTGAGACGGAGTCTCGCTCTGTCGCCCAGGCTGGAGTGCAGTGGCGGGATCTCGGCTCACTGCAAGCTCCGCCTCCCGGGTTCACGCCATTCTCCTGCCTCAGCCTCCCGAGTAGCTGGGACTACAGGCGCCCGCCACTACGCCCGGCTAATTTTTTTGTATTTTTAGTAGAGACGGGGTTTCACCGTTTTAGCCGGGATGGTCTCGATCTCTTGACCTCGTGATCCGCCCGCCTCGGCCTCCCAAAGTGCTGGGATTACAGGCGTGAGCCACCGCGCCCGGCCTTGAGTGAGTTTCTTAATCCTGAGTTCTAATTTGTACATGTACAAATTAGAGTACAACATGGAAGGTTATGCAACCATAAAAAAATCATGAGTTCATGTTCTTTGAAGAGACATGGATGAAACTAGAAGCCATCATTCTCAGCAAACTAACACAGGAACAGAAAACCAAACAGTGCATGTTCTCACTCACAAATGGGAGTTGAACAATAACACATGGACACACGGAGGGGAACATCACACACAGAGGCCTGTCAGGGGTTGGAGGGGAAGAGGAGGGAGAGCATTAGGACAAATACCTCATGCATGTGGGGCTTAAAACTTAGATTACAGGTTGATAGATGGAGCGAACCACCACAGCACATATATACCTATGTAACAAACCTGTACATTCTGCACATGTATCCCAGAAATTAAAGTAAAAATTTTAAAACAGATATAAATATTGTATACATAAAAAAGACATACAATGTTTATGAATAGAAAGATTTTATATTGTAAATAAGTCATTTCTACTCATTAAATTATGGTTGAATGCAATCCTACTCAAAATCCTATCAGGTAATTTGGAAATGGACAAGCTAATTTAAATTTTTTTTGAAAATTTAAAAGGACAAGAGAACCAAGAAAGTTCTGAAGAAGAATAGAGCTCAAGAATCTATACCATCAGATGTCTCCAACTTTATTACAATTAAAATAAGATGGTATTAGCAGGACATACAAATAGAGAAATCAAAAGCAAACTCATACTTATACCATCACCTGATTTATGACAAAGGTGAAACTGCAGTGCAGTGAGGAAATAACAATCTTCTCAATAAATGGTGGTAGATAATTTGGATATCAATATGGGGGAATAAAAGACTTTAACCCTTGTCTTGCATCAGAAACAAAAGTCAATCGTAGGTGGGTTATAAAGCTCAATCTGAAAGGGTAAAAATTTTTTAAAAAGCTTCTGTAACATAGAAGAATACCTTTATGACAATTGGGTAGACAAAAATTTCTTAAGCAAGACTAAATAAGCATTAACTACACAGAAAAAGTCTGATAAATTGAACTACATTAAAATGAAGAAATTGGCATTAACGAAGTCACCATTAAGAGAAAGAAAAGACAAGTTAAATTGAGAGAAGATATCTGCAATGTTTAGGTCCAATCAAAAATTTATATCCAGAATGTATAAAAATTTCCTATAAATCTTCATATATTCTGGATATAAATTTTTGATTGGACATAAACCAAAAAAAGGCCAGGACCAGATGGATTCACAGCTGAATTCTACCAGAGGTAAAAAGAGGAGTTGGTACCATTCCTTCCGAAACTATTCCAATCTATAGAAAAAGATGGAATCGTCCCTAACTCATTTTATGAGGCCAGCATCATCCTGATACCAAAGCCTGGCAGAGACACAACAAAAAAAGAGAATTTTATACCAATATCCCTGATGAACATTGATGCAAAAATCCTCAATAAAATACTGGCAAACCAAATCTAGCAGCACATCAAAAAACTTATCCACCATGATCAAGTGGGCTTCATCCCTGGGATGCAAGGCTGGTTCAACATACGCAAATCAATAAATGTAATCCAGCATATAAACAGAACAAATGACAAAAACCACATGATTATCTCAATAGATGCAGAAAAGGTCTTTGACAAAATTCAACAACCCTTCATGCTAAAAACTCTCAATAAATTAGGTATTGATGGGACGTATCTCAAAATAATAAGAGCTATCTATGACAAACCCAAAGCCAGTATCATACTGAATGGGCAAAAACTGGAAGCATTCCCATTGAAATCTGGCACAAGACAGGGATGCCCTCTCTCACCACTCCTATTCAACATAGTGTTGGAAGTTCTGGCCAGGGCACTAAGGCAGGAGAAAGAAATAAAGATTATTCAATTAGGAAAAGAGGAAATTCAATTGTCCCCGTTTGAAGATGACGTGATTGTATATTTAGAAAACTCCATCGTCTCAGCCCAAAATCTCCTGAAGCTGATAAGCAACTTCAGCAAAGCCTCAGGATACAAAATCAATGTGCAAAAATCACAGGCATTCTTATACACCAACAACAGACAAACAGAGAGCCAAATCATGAGTGAACTGCCATTCACAATTGCTTCAAAGAGAATAAAATACCTAGGAATCCAACTTACAAGGGATGTGAAGGACCTCTTCAAGGAGAACTAGAAACCACTGCTCAAGGAAATAAAAGAGGATACAAACAAATGGAAGAACATTCCATGCTCATGGGTAGGAAGAATCAATATCGTGAAAATGGCCATACTGCCCAAGGTAATTTATAGATTCAATGCCATCCCCATCAAGCTACCAAAGACTTTCTTCACAGAATTGGAAAAAACTACTTTAAATTTCAAATGGAACCAAAAAAGAGCCCGCGTCTCCAAGTCAATCCTAAGCAAAAAGAACAAAGCTGGAGGCATGACGCTACCTGACTTCAAACCATACTACAAGGCTACAGTAACCAAAAGAGCACGGTACTGGTACCAAAACAGAGATATAGACCACTGGAACAGAACAGAGCCCTCAGAAATAATACCACACATCTGCAACCATCTGATCTTTGACAAACCTGACAACAACAAGAAATGGGGAAAGGATTCCCTATTTAGTAAATGGTGCTGGGAAAACTGGCTAGCCATATGTAGAAAGCTGAAACTGGATCCCTTTCTTACACCTTATACAAAAATTAATTCAAGATGGATTAAAGACTTAAATGTTAGACCTAAAACTATAAAAACCCTAGAAGAAAACCTAGGCAATGCTATTCGGGACATAAGAATGGGCAAGGACTTCATGTCTAAAATACCAAAAGCAATGGCAACAAAAGCCAAAATTGACAAATGGGATCTAATTAAACTACAGAGCTTCTGCACAACAAAAGAAACTACCATCAGAATGAACAGGCAACCTACAGAAAGGGAGAAGATTTTTGCAATCTACTCATCTGACAAAGGGCTAATATCCAGAATCTGCAAAGGACTCAAACAAGTTTACAAGAAAAAAACAAACAACCCCATCACAAAGTGGGCAAATGATATGAACAGACACTTTTCAAAAGAAGACATTTATGCAGCCAACAGACCATGAAAAAATGCTCATCATCACTGGTCATCAGAGAAATGCAAATCAAAACCACAATGAGATACCATCTCACACCAGTTAGAATGGCAATCATTAAAAAGTCAGGAAACAACAGGTGCTGGAGAGGATGTGGAGAAATAGGAACACTTTTACACTTTTGCTGGAACTGTAAACTAGTTCAACCATTGTGGAAGTCAGTGTGGCAATTCCTCAAGGATCTAGAGCTAGAAATACCATTTGACCCAGCCATCCCATTACTGGGTGTATAACCAAAGGATTATAAATCATGCTGCCATAAAGACACATGCACATGTATGTTTATTGTGGCACTATTCACAATAGCAAAGACTTGGGAACCAACCCAAATGTCCATCAATGATAGACTGGATTAAGACAATGTGGCACATATACACCATGGAATACTATGCAGCCATGAAAAAGGATGAGTTCATGTCCTTTGTAGGGACATGGATGAAGCTGGAAACCATCATTCTCTGCAAACTATCACAAGAACAAAAAACCAAACACAGTATGTTCTCACTCATAGGTGAGAATTGAACAATGAGAACACTTGGACAGAGGAAGGGGAACATCACACACCAGGCCCTGTTGTGGGGTGGGGGAAGAAGGGAGGGATAGCAATAGGAGATATACCTAATGTAAGTGACGAGTTAATGGGTGCAGCACACCAACATGGCCCATGTATACATATGTAACAAACCGCACGTTGCACACATGTACCCTAGAACTTAAAGTATAAAAAAATTATTAAAAATCATTGAAATGTACACTTTAAAAAACAACAAAAAAAGAGTGTATTTTATCAGGATTCTGAGTAGAGTGCTCTAGAGTATGACATAGGTTAGGGAATGTCTTAATAAGGTTCAAAATTCTAGGAATAATGAAACTAGCAAAAAAGTTTTGAATAATGCCAGGGATTCAACTGCCTCCCTGGCCTTTCCCTGCCAATCAATGTGCCCCAGCAGCCAATTTACACAGCACTGTGTGCAGGCTTGTAAATAGACCTTCCAGTTCTGCTATAATCAAGACCTTATTGTCCATAACTCAATTTGGAGAAGGTTTAGCTGTCTACCAACTCTTGTGCAGAGTTTCTGTGAGGTTTTGTTTTGGGTTGCAAGAATCTGGAAAACAAATGCAGATATTTTTGAGGAAGATTTTGAAATTTCTATTTACAAGGTACCAAAAATGGGATGCAAACTCGAATTTGGTTGATGTTCTGAAATACATACCTGTGTCTTGAGATTTGCTTGAGCAAACCTTTAACCATGGAAATTTGAAACAATGATTTCCGGGTTGAAATAATTCCAGTTTTGTCATTTAAATACCACAAACGAATCTGTTTTAGCACAGGGTACAAATATCTTTTTTCCTTTTGTGCATTTGGCAATAGTGTGTTTTGGTAATAAAACATAGCTCTGCATATTAATGAAACATAGCTCTGCATATTTTGTCTGGGGAAAATTAGCATTCTGTGAACAAAGTCAACAATTTCTGGCCTCACATTAGTTTTCCTATTATAATTAAAACTTAGTTTTGGCCAGGCGCGGTAGCTCATGCCTGTATTCCCCGCACTTTGGGAGGCCAAGGCAGGCGGATCACGAGGCCAGGAGGTCGAGACCATCCTGGCTAACATGGTGAAACTCTGTCTCTACTAAAAATACAAAAAAAAAAAAAAATTAGCCAGGTGTGGTGGCGGGCGCCTGTAGTCCCAGCTACTCAGGAGGCTGAGACAGGAGACTGGCATGAACCTGGGAGGCAGAGCTTGCAGCGAGCCGAGATCACGCCACTGCACTCCAGCCTGGGTGACAGAGCGAGACTCTGTCAAAAAAAACAAAAACAAAAAGAAACAAAAAAAAACACTTAGTTTTGAAAATATCTTGGTGTTAAATTTCCAATGCTTCAATATTACAATTAAAACCTTGCTTTACTGAGAGCAGAAACATAATGCAGAAAAGAAAAAAGACCAACAGTCTCTAGATTGCTGGATTTATGTGGATATGATGGGGTTGGTGTTAAACGATTTCTCCCTTGAATCATAGCAAAGATGATTTTGTGACGCATAGCTCTTTCATAAATATACTTTCCAACCATTCAGCATTACCTATCTTTTGGTTTATTTTGCTTTGTGTTTCTGCTCTGATATCATTTCTGGAAACAAATTACAGTAAAAAATTTATTGAGAGCTGGCATTGTGAATTGTGCCTAGGACTTAATTCATACAGAGAAGGTGAATTCTGCTGAAAGGTGCTTAATACACTGCCCTCCAAATCAAGAGAAACAGGCCATTCTGGGACACACATAGCCTGTCTCACACAGGGGTTAGGAAGCAGAGATATCAGGGAATTGGGACTATGTCTTCATGATAGATATGGTTAGGCTTTGTGTGCCCCCATCTCATCTTGAATTGTAATCCCCATATGTTAAGGGAGACACCTGGTGGGAAGTGATTGGATCATGGGGGGTAGTTCCCCCCATGCCGTTCTTGTGATACTGAGTGAATTCTCATGAATTCTGATGGTTTTATAAATCGTAGTTTTTTCTGCACACACACACATGTTCTTTTTCCTGCTGCCATGTAAGAAGGTCCAGTTTGCTTCTCCTTTGCCTTTTGCCATGATTGTAAGTTTCCTGAGGCCTCCCCAGCTATGAGGAACTGTGAGTCAATTTAACCTCTTTGCTTTATAAATTACTCAGTCTTGGGAAGATTTTTATTGCAGTGTGAGAATGGACTATTACAGTAAATTCGTACTGGTAGAGTTGGATACTGCTATAAAGATACCAGCAATGTAAAAGTGACTTTGGGTCTGGAGATGGAGATGAGAAACCTATTGGGAACTACTGCAAAGGTCACTCTTGCTATGCTTAAGCAGAAACTGGCAGCATTTTCCCCTGCCCTAAAGAGCTGTGGAACTTTGAACTTAGATGATCTGAAATAGAAACTTACGTTTAAAAGGGAAGCAGAGCATAAAAGTTTGGAAAAATTTGCAGCCTGATAATGCTATAGAAAAGAAAAACCCATTATTGGGGGTAAAAGTTCAAGCCAGCTGCAAAAATTTGCATAAGCCACAAGGAGCCTAATGTTAATCACCAAGACAATGGGGAACATGTCTCCAGGGCATGTCAGAGACCTTCACAGAAGCCTTTCACATCACAGACCAGGAGGTCTAAGAGGAAAAAAATGGCTTTGTGTGCAGGGTCCAGGCCTTGCTGCTTTGTGCCACCTCAGTACTTGGTGCCCTGTGTCCCAGCCACTACATCTGTGGATAAAAGGGGCCAAGGTACAGTTCAGACCATTGCTTCTGTAGGTACAAGCCCCAAGCTTTGTTGGCTTCCATGTGGTGTTGAGCCTGTGAGTGCACAGAAGTCAAGAATTGGGGTTTGGGAACCTCCACCTAGATTTAAAAGCATGTAAGGAAAAGCCTGGATATACAGGAAGAAGTTTGCTGCAGGGGTGGAGCCCTCATGGAGAACCTCTGTTAGGGCAGTGCAGAAGAGAAATGTGAGGTCAGAGCCTTCACACACAGTCCCCACTGAGGCACTGCCTAGTGGAGCTGTGAGAAGAGAGCCACTATTCTCCAGATCCCAGAATGGTAGATCAACCAACAGCTTGCATTGTACATCTTGAAAAGCTGCAGACACTCAATGCCAGCCTATGAAAGCAGCTTTGAATGGGGCTGTACCCTGCAAAGGCACAGGGGCAGAGCTGCCCAAGACCATGAGAGCCTACTTCTTGCACCAGTGTGACCTGAATGTGAGACACATGGTCAAAGGAGATTATTTTGGAGCTTTAAAATTCAATGACTACCCTGCTGGATTCTGGACTTGCATGGGGCCTTTAGCCCCTTTGTTTTGTCCAGTTCTCCTATATGGAATGGGAGCATCCTCATCCAACGCCTGTACCTTCATTGTATCTTAGAAGTAATTAACTTGGTTTTGATTTTATAGGCCATGCTAATCAGTGTTCAGTTCCAGATTCCAATTTATTCTCAGTGTGCCTGTATAACTTTTCTTTCCATATATATGGAATTAAATTTCTATTACTTATTTGAATGTTATAGAATACTGTTCATATATTTAAAATAAAACCACCAGGTATAATGACTTCTGGCTTAGTATAAAAAAGCTTTTACCCAGTTAGCATTATTTACACAGGTGGATGTGGCTCCACAACATTTAGAGAAGAAGAACTAATTCAGCTGTCATATGTTGCCGTGACTCAGCCTCTGAAGTGATTATGAAAAAATCCAAATTTCAGCAAAATTATATGGTTGTTTTCAGTACCTCTGAAGGTGGTATATCAAGAATTCTCATGCTACTGTTTGAGAAAACAGATTCTGTTATTACCTGGAAAATCAACTGCAAGGCATTTTTATAACCTTATCCCATGTAAAAAAAATACATTGAAATGTATTAATAAATGCAGACTACATTACTTGAAAAATGGTAATACAGAATGCCACTTTTAATATTTGAGAATATGAAATTTTGGTAAAAATAATGTAAAATAAAGTTTCTGGTAAGCCTTGGGCAGTTAAATTTACATCAGAGTAAAGTAGGATGAAAATCTGTAAAAAATAAAAACAAAAAAACAAACAAAAACCTACACAAAAAAATCCTAACATCCACCAATGCATACATATTGATCTTTGTGCTGGGAAAATCTAAAGCAAAACATTTTGGTAAACTTGACAGTTATTTATTTTGACTATATTGGCATGTTGATACTGCTTATATTTAATTTGAGTGAAACATGTCCACATTATTAAAAGTGTTGCTTTGTACTATGAATGATGGATGTAAAGTCTTGATCCTCATCCAAATAAATATGGCAACACTTTCTTCTGCTTCTTTCAAGCTGAGGCATTATGAAAGCTCAAATTTGAAGTGAGAGGGACTTAACATCAGAGCCTGAAAAACCAAGAGGAATGAGGTAGGATGATCAGCTCTGAAGCTCAGGGTGGCCTGGGGAAATTCAATATAATGATGTCAACTATGAAGCTTACTGGGTAAAACTACAAATAGGCTGATCTCATTTTACAGAGGTAAACCCACACTCCCTTTTCCAAGAAAGTAAAAAACAAAACAAGCAAATAAAACTAAAAATACAAACTTGAAAACATCATGGCTTAAATTTGGTGGGAAGAAGCCTCTGGTATCAAAAATAGTTGTGCCAAAAGAATTGAGCCAGCCAGGTGTGGTGTCTCACTCCTGTAATCCCAGGACTTTGGGAGGCTGAGGTGGGCAGACAACCTGAGATCAATAGTTTGAGAACAGCCTGGCCAATATAGTGAAGCCCCATCTCTACTAAAAATAAAAAAAAATTAGCCGGGTATGGTGGGAGGCACTGTAATCCCAGTTACTTGGGAGGCTGAGGCAGGAGAATAGTTTCAACCCAAGAGGCGAAGGTTGCAGTGAGCCGAAGTCGTGCCATTGCACTCAAGCCTGGGCAACAAGAGCAAAACTCTGTCAATTAAAAAAAAAAAAAGAATTGAGCCAGAATAAAATGTATTTAAGGGTTACTAAGGGGAATGTTTCTAGCACATAAGTATTTGTTCCATGTCTTATTATATTATATTAGGCAATATCCTTTCATGTAATGTCAGCTTCTCCAAGATAGGGATGTCAAAGAGAAACTAAGACAAGTGCCTAATATGCCATAGGCATTTTGTTCTCAAATTTAACAAACTTGAAATGATTGTATAAATTTTACTGAACTGTGTTTTATGTATAAAACTCACCTAAAGGCATTATCCAGTACATACAACCTTCAGTCTTTTCTGGGATGTTCTGTTGCCTGATTTCAAATCAAACTTATTGAAATTCTAGCAATTTCTCCAGTCCCAGATGTAAAAATAAAAAAGCGGAAATAAAGCCAAATTACCCCCAAAAGAATATGCATTATACGTATAGAACAAATGAACCCAAAACCACATAAGGTAAACAAATCTACTGGTTCAAAATTAAGCCTAACTTCAACAGTACCAGGCAAAAACCATTTGTAAAAATTACCAAAGTCAAAATACAGAAACCCTTAGTCTATTATGCCAATAAATATCAGGGAACCTGCCCCGATAGTCACGTAGGTTCTTTTCTATTTTCCCTAAGTGTCAGCTGGTTTGAGAAATAAAGGGGGAGAGTACAAAAGAGAGAAATTTTAAAGCTGGGCATCCCAGGGAGATATCACATGTCGGTACGTTCCGTGATGCCCCCCAAGCCACAAAACCAGCAAGTTTTTATTAGGGACTTTCAAAAGTGGAGGAAGTGTACGAATAGGGTGTGGGTCATAAAGATCACGTACTTCACAAGGTAATAGAATATCACAAGGCAAACAGAGGCAGGGCAAGTTCACAAGACCACAGGACCGGGGCAAAATTAAAACTGCTATTGAAGTTTCAGACACCATTGTCATTGACAACATCTTAACAGGAGACAGGGTTTGAGAGCAACTGGTCTGACCAAAATTTATTAGGCAGGAATTTCCTCTTCCTAATAAGCCTGGGAATGCTACAGGAGACTGGGGTTTATTTCACCCATACAGTTTTGACCATAGAAGATGGCCACACCCAAGGGGGCCATTTATAGGCCCACCCTCAGGGGTGCATTCTCTTTCTCAGGGATGTTCCTTGCTGAGAAAAAGAATTCAGTGATATTTCTCCCATTTGCTTTTCAAAGAAGAGAAATATGGCTCTGTTACACCTGGATCACCAGCCGTCAGAGTCTAAGGTTATCTCTCTTATTCCCTGAACAATTGCTGTTATCCTGTTCTTTTTTCAAGGTGCCCAGATTTCATATTGTTCAAACACACATGCTCTACAACCTGTGCGGTTAATGCAATTATCACAGGGTCCTGAGGTGACATACATCCTCCTCAGCTGACAGGATTAAGAGATTAAAGTAAAGATAGGCATAGGAAATTACAAGCGTATTGACTGGGGAAGTGATAAGTGTCCATGAAATCTTCACAATTTGTGTTTAGAGATTGCAGTAAAGACAGGCATAGGAAATTATAAAAGTATTAATTTGGGGAACTAATAAATGTCCATGAAATCTTCACAGTCCACATTCTTCTGCCATGGCTTCAGCCGGTCCCCCCATTTGGGGGTCCCTGACTTCCCACAACAAATAAAAATTAGCATTTAAAAAATACATTAAATATAACAGAACGTATACAATTACAATAAAATATTTTTAAATGATAATCTTATTTTCAAATATTTACTGTATTTAGACAAGACTTTTAATGAAAAATACTTATAGCTACAATGTATGAATTAAAACAGCCCTGGAAGAAATAGTAATTCTATTAATAATAAAGATTAAGGCAGGGTGTAGTGGCTCACACCTATTATCCCAGCACTTTGGGAGGCCAAAGTGGGCAGACCACCTGAGGTCAGGAGTTTGCGACCAGCCTGGCCAACATGGTGAAACCTCGTCTCTACTAAAAATACAAAAATTAGCCAGGCATGGTGGCAGGCATCTGTAATCCCAGCTACTTGGGAGGCTGAGGAAGGAGAATTGCTTGAACCTGGGAGGTGGAAGTTGCAGTGACCTGAGATTGCACCATTGCACTCCAGCCTGGATGACAAGAGTAAGAATCCATCTAAAAAAAAAAAAAAATTAAAGCTTCAAGGTTGTGGAATAATTTATCCTGGACACACAGCTAATGACCCAAATCAAGCTCAGATGTGTTTGATTTTAAAATTCTCCTTTTTCCACTGTGGACAATGTTGATGTAACAGTTAAATCTTGGTCTCAGAGTTGGTGGTTGGGAACAAATCAAGGCAAGTACTATTATGATTTGTTTTGTATTCTTTATCACCAACATTTTCTTCTCTAATATGTCAGTATTTACATTTGGACCACAGCTGACTTTTACTGAAGTCTACTATAAAACATGGCTAAATTGAAAATTAATGTGATCACAAAATGATTTGTCATGAAAGCAGGTATAATTTTCAAGTTTCAGCTCAGTCTCAAATTTGTATCTATTTGAATTTTTTGAGTATTTCTGACATATACTCAAGTAAATATCAAATGTATTGTTTTATTCAATTTTTGGGATTCAATTAAAAAATAATTTGTATTCAAGTTTGTTGTTATATTTACTTTTGACCAAATTTGACTTTCCAAGCAGGAAAAGCTAAAGCATTTTTTTCAAAGGTTCAAGGGACTTAAGCTTACTGGCATCAAATGTTCTGTAGTAAAACAGGCAAATAAAACCTAATATTTTTATCAATAATAATTTAATAGTTTTATGTCTGAGAACCTAAGAATCAAAGACATCAACTCCAGATGATGTCAATTGCATAATTACACTGGTAAGATAGAAAATGATTATGAGAGTCTAACAAATGATGGATATGGCAACCTAACACTTGACAAAACCATTCAGGATGTGTTAGACAAACAAGAAGGTACTGCTAATGTAAAGCTTTTTCTTTCTCTAACTTTACTTTTTTTTTTTTTTGAGATGGAGTCTTACTCTGTTGCCGAGGCTGGAGTGCAGTGGTGCAATCTCGGCTCACTGCAAGCTCCGCCTCCCAGGTTCATGCCATTCTCCTGCCTTAGCCTTCCAAGTAGCTGGGACTACAGGCACCTGCCATGACTCCTGGCTAATTTTTTATATTTTTTAGTAGAGACAGGCTTTCAACGTGTTAGCCAGGATGGTCTCAGTCTCCTGACCTTGTGATCCGCCTCGCCTCCCTCAGCCTCCCAAAGTGCTGATATTATAGGCATGAGCCACCGAGCCTGGCCCAACTTTACTCTTTATTCTCAACCTTACAACCATCAGATACTCTTGTACACAGAATAAGAAAAATCAACTTTTTTTCCTTGAAGACAATGTTTCATCTTGTATTTTATAATATCTGTTCCACATTGCTGTGACAATGCTGTTGAAGTGCACCTTCCTTCCTTCACCAAAAGATCACCTGTGTGAATTTGAATAGATGGTCACTGGAGGGGACCAGCTTGGCACACTGGATTGAATTGTCTCTTTGCTTTTCAGGCAAAGCGGCTTTGAAAAGACTGAAAATAAAGAGACTGCTGATTAAGCAGATGGCTTGCCATGTCAATAGGACAATTGTTTGAAAATCATGTCGCATGAACCACAACTATTAAAATGTGAAATGCATGATGCAAATAGTGCACAAAAAAATAGAATGAAAATGATGAATCCAGCCATAAAAGACAGCCAAACTCCATTTTAGCAATAAAGTAAAATATAATCTGCTGTCAGGGGAAGGTAATTTGAAGCACTTGAGATATTCTTTAATTTAAAAATCCAAAAATATTTTTAGCTTTAGTTACTATAATACATGTTTAAGCATTTTCCATTTGAAATAAAATTTTAATTTCATGCTTTGTCAGTTTAGTTTCCCTAAATAAATAGAAAATAGTAAAATATCACATACTAAAAAAATCAACTTCTTTGGTAATAAATCAGTTCAACTGTCAGACCAAAACATTGTTACATTTTACCCAATGTCATGCTGACCAATTTGATCAAATGCCACTTCCTTATAACTAAGAGAGATGCAAAGATGTAGACTTTATGTTGAGTGAGACAGGTAAGGATTACTAGGAGCTAGATAATTGTCGATTTTCATTACTATTTTGTCTCTATGTTAATTAATGGTCTTGATTCAAGAAAATTTTTTTAAAAACTCATCTTCTCCGTCAGGCAAAATATTAACAAAAACGCATATAAATGAAGGCATTTAACACAGTCATAGTTTACATTTTAAAATTAATATACTTCTAGAAATAACAAAAAAAGAAAAAAGATATAAAAAAGAAATGAACTTAATTTTTGTTGCAAAGCACTCATTACTAAACCTAACACAAATACTTTGGTAAAGGCTTTCTAACACTGACATTCTTCTCAGGACTTAAAAGAGCCACTAATTTTACTTTTGACATATATTTAGTTTTAATGTTAAAAGCTAAAAGGAGCCTATTATTTTATTTATAATTTGTGCTCTGCATGTACATCATCATCCATTGAGTCGACTAAGGTTTCTGAAAGTTTCAGAAACAGTAACATAAGAATACTTTTTCTGGCCATGCATGGTGGCTCACGCCTGTAATCCCAGCACTTTGGGAGGCCGGGGTGGGGGGATCACCTGAAGTCAGGCATTCGAGATCAGCCTGATGAACCTGGTGAAACCCCATCTCTACTAAAAATACAAAATTAGCTGGGTGTGGTGACACATGCCTGTAACCCCAGCTACTCCTTTAATGACCATATGTGAAGTTTCTTTTGAACTAATCATAACTACCTATTTTTATTGCTTTTTTTGCTCCTATTAGAAAAAAATATTAAAGTTCCTGTTACTACAAACACAAACTATTCAAATCTAAGCATAGTGCTTATCTTAAAAGATCTGTATGCTTGGAATTATGGAAATCCTATTCTCCATTTAAAATACTGCTTTTCAGTAAGCCAAATGGGGCAAATGTGGCTCACAATCATGTTATTAAATATTAATACCATCATCAAGATGGAACTTTTAGTTATCTACATGTTCAAATGGTTTTAACTTATAATAAGTCAGAAGCTATAAATTTTTATAAACTATAAAAATAAACAAAAAATATATTTGTCAATGCATTTTTTTCAGTTTTAAAATACTTAGCCCCAGGATTATTTCTAGTTGACATAACACTAGATTTCAGATGATGTGGATGTAGAAACTAGAAACGTCCTGGTTGACTCTGCTTCACTTTCTGCCTTCATTTAGCACACAATCATAGCAGCACAATGAAAGCCAGCAATGCTACCCCTTTTGAAAAACACACCACTGCCCTTCTAGGGAGAATATATGTGTGAAAAGATTCAACTGAAAGTCATGCCATCTTTTCTTTTATTTACAGACTTATATATGATAAATAATACAAATAAAAATTTAACACTTCCATATAATCAGAAAATTATTCTAAAAATTCCTTCTGACACATTATTCTTTTTCACCAAAATGGTTGTGATGCAATGATTGCCTTTGCAGGACTGTTGTCTTAAATAACCAATACTCCCGTTTCATTGTTCTTGAGCTTTAAACATAAAGCTTTCATGCTTTTTCTAGAAATGTCATTTCCTAATTATGTCACTTAGGTATGATTGCCATAGCTTCGTATTTTCAAAAATGGTTCTAAAAAAACTTAAACCACTGACCATCTTTGTTTCCCAAAGGAGTAGACTAATAAATTAACACTATCATCTAGCATACTGTAAATAGATGAAAAATGAAGATGTAGAGCAGTGGTGTCCAATTTTTTGGCTTCCCTAGGACACACTAGAAGAATTGTCTTGAGCCATACATAAAATACACCAATGATGATTAAAAAAATCACAAAAAACTCATAATGCTTTTAGAAAGTTTATGAATTTGTTTAGGGCTGCACTGAAAGCCATATTGGGCCACATGCAGCCTGTAGGTCATGAGTTGGACAAGCTTCACGTACAGTCATTTATTTTAGCTGCACACTCAAGACTAAGGCCAAGAGCTTTCAGAGAAAATAGCTTATAGGCTGTCAGGAGACCTGTTATAGAAACATTCACCCCTATGTCTAAAGGGGACAAAATTCTATGTCTTCCACCCTTAATTCCAACCATTAACCAAAACTGGAGAAATCTAACATGGCATTATATCACAAAGTACTTTATTATTTTTATTTTGGGTTCAAGGATACATGTGCAGATTTGTAACATAGGTATACTGCATGACGTTGAGGTTCGGACAATTAATAATCCCATTGCCCAGGTAGTGTACATTATACATGATAAGTACTTTTTAACCCTTGTACCCCTTCTCCCTCCATTTTGGAATCCTTTGTGTTTATTGTTCTCATCTTTGCTTCCATGTGTACCCAATGTTTAGCTTCCAATTATAAGTGAGAAAATGTAGTATTTGGTTTTCTGTTCTGTGTTAATTTGCTTAGGATCATGAACTTGAGTTGCACCCATGTTGCTGCAAAGAGTATTACATGATTCTTCTTCAGTGGCTGCATAGTATTGGATGGTGTGTAATTACCTAATTTTTAAAATCCATCTTAAGATTTATGAGCACATGGTTTCATTCCACGTTTTTGCTATTGTGACTAGTGCTGCAATAAACATATGAGTGCAGGTGTCTTTTTGGTAGAAAAATTTATTTGTGTTTGGGTATATGTCCCGTAGTGAGGCTGCTGGGTCAAATGGTAACTTTAGTTTTAGTCCTTTGAGAAATCCCCAAAATGCATTCTACAGGAGCTGAACTAATTTGCATTCCCACTAAGAGCATATCAGGCTTCTCTTTTCTACACAATTTTAACATCCGTTTTTTTTACTTTTTAATAATAGTTCATTTAGACTGGGGTGAGATGGTATCACATTGTGGTTTGGATTTACGTCTCTCTAATCATTAGAAATGTTGATCAATTTTTCATATATTTGATGGCTGCTTTTTTTGTCTTTTAAAAATATATGTTCACATTTTTTGTCAACATTTTTTCTTAAATTCTTTATAAAACATATATATTAGTTATTTGTTGTATGCAGTTTACACATATTTTAGCTCATACTGTAGGTCATCTGTTTATTTTGTTAATAGTTTCTCTTGCTGTGCAGGTCACAATTTTTAATTTTTTTTTGTTGCTTTCACTTTTGAGGATGTAGTCATTAATTCTTTACAGAGACCAATGCCAAGGAGAGAATTTTCTAGGTGTTCTTCTAGGATTTTTATAGGTTGAAATCTTACAGATAAGTCTTTAATGTATCTTGAGTTAATTTTCTATATCATGAGAAGTAGCAGTCGAGTTTTCCTCTTCTGCATATGACTAACCAGTTTTTCCAGCACCTTTTATTGGGTAGGGAGTTCTTTCCATTTGTTTCTGTTGATGCTGTCAAAAATTAATTAATTGTAAGAGTTCAGCTTCATTTCAAGGCTCTCTCTTCTGTTCAATAGGGATGTGTACGTGTGTGTATCTGCATCCATATTATATTGGTTACCATAGCTTGTGGTAAAGTTTGAAGTTTGGTAACATAACGTATCCAGGTTTATTCTTTTTGTTCAGTATAGCCTTGGCTATTTGAGCTTTTTTGTTTTCATATAAATTTTACAATAGTTTTTTTTGTCTAATTTTATAAAAAATGGCATTGGTAGAGTGATAGAAATAGAAATAAACTGTCGATTGTTTGGGCAGTATGAATTTTTTAACAATTCTAATCCATTAGCATGAAATACAATTCCATTTATTTGCACTGTGTCTGATTTCTTTCAGTAGTGGTTTGTAGTTCTTCTAGTAGAGATATTTAACCTCCTTTGTTTAATGGATCACTATTTTATTTTTTGTTTCTGGCTATTGTAAACTGGATTGTGTTCTTAATTTTGCTCTGCTTAAGTGTTACTGGTGTATAGAAATGTTCCTCATTTTGAATGCTGTTTTGCTTTTTGTTGTTGTTGCTGAGATTTTGCTGAAGTCTTTTATTAGGCTTAGGAGTCTTTTGGAGGAGTCTTTGAAGTGGGTAGAAAATTATATCATCAGTAAAGACAGATAAGTTGATTTCCTCTTTTCTTATTTGAGTGATTTTTCCTTCTTTATCTTGCCTGATTGTTCTGGCTAAAACTTTCAGAACTATGTTGAATAGGAGTGGTGAAAGTGCACATTCTTTTCTTATTTCAATTTTTAGGAAGGATTCATTAATCTTTCACCTGTTCAGTATGATGTTGGCTGAGGATTTGCCTTATATGGCTGTTATTATTTTGAGGTATGTTCTTTCAATGCCTAGTTTTTTGAGAATTTTTTACATAAATAGATATTACATTTTATTAATTGCTATTTCCACATCTATTGAGGTAATGTGGTTTTGTTTTTGAATTATTTTTATACGTTGAATCACATTTATAGATTGCGCATGTTAAAACATTCCTGCATTCACAGAATAATGTCCACATAGTTGCAGTGAAATAACTTTGATTTCCTGACTCAGTTTGCAAGCATTTAATGAATAATTTTTGTGTGTGTATTCATCAGGGATATTGGCCTGTAATTTTTTTTGTTGTGTCTTTACTTGATTAATATATCAAGATGAGACTGATATTATATGATAGAATTAATTAGGAAGGAGTCCCACTTTGATTTTTTGGAATACTTTCTGTAGAATTACAACCAACTAATTTTTGTATATGTGATAAAATCATGCTGTGAATGTATCTGGTTCAGCACTTTTTATAATTGGTAGATATTTTTTATCACCAATTCAATTTGCTTACACGTTTTTGATTTCTTCAAGACTTCTGTTTATTCCTGATTCAATCTTGGGAGGTTGTATATTTCTAAGAGTTTATTCATTTCCTCTAGACTTTCTAGTTGGTGTGCACAGAGATATTTATAGTAGTCTGCAAGTATCTTTTGTATTTTTGTGGGATTGGTTGTCACAAATGTAACATTCAAATAGATGTATAATGAAAGTGTAACAAAATTCAATATCTCCTCATAATAAAACTCTTGAACTAGTTATAAAATGAATGCAACTCAAGGTAATGTCATGTGTAACAACAATGCACACCTAACATACTAAATAAGGAAAAACTGTAAGCCTTTTCTCTAAGAGCTAGAACAAGCCAAGGATGTCTAATTTCTCCAATCCTTTTTTTTTTTTTTTTTGAGATGGAGTCTCGCTCTGTTGCCTAGGCTGGAGTGCAGTAGTGCAATTTTGGATCACTGCAAGCTCTGCCTCTCAGGTTTACACCATTCTCCTGCCTCAGCCTCCTGAGTAGCTGGGACGACAGGTACCTGCCACCACGCCTAGCTAATTTTTGTATTTTTAGTAGAGACAGGGTTTCACCTTGTTAGCCAAGATGGTCTTGGTCTCCTGACTTCGTGATGCATCCACCTCTGCCTCCCACAGTGCTGGGATTACAGGTGTGAGCCACCAAGCCCAGCCCAATTCCTTTGATCTTACTGAACATAATACAAAATGACGAAGACAGAAAAATTTTTCAATAAAGTCAAAGCAATCTTAAAAAAAATGAAGAAGATAAATTATATTTTCCTTGCAGATGATATAAACTTAAGTACAGAAAAACCTAGGAGTTCACAAAAAATTATTAGAATAAACAAATTTATTAAACATGCAGGATACAAAATCAACATAAAAATTCAGTAACCTTTCTATACACTAACAATAAAGTATCTGAAAATAAAACCAAAAAACAATCCCATCTACAATAATTGCAGCAGTAACTATACTTAGAAATGAAAGTAAACAAAAAGGCGAAAGATCTGTACATTATTATCTAAAAAAAAAAGTTAGAAAATAAATAATATTCAGGCGGAGGAGCCAAGATGGCCGAATAGGAACAGCTCCGGTCTACAGCTCCCAGCATCAGCGACGCAGAAGTCGGGTGATTTCTGCATTTCCATCTGAGGTACCAGGTTCATCTCACTAGGGAGTGCCAGACAGTGGGTGCAGGTCAGTGGGTGTGCTCACCATACGCGAGCTGAAGCAGGGCGACGCATTGCCTCACTTGGGAAGCGCAAGGGGTAAGGGAGTTCCCTTTCCGAGTCAAAGAAAGAGTGACAGACGGCATCTGGAAAATCCGGTCACTCCCACCCGATTACTGCGCTTTTCCGACCGGCTTAAAAAACGGTGCACCACGAGATTATATCCCGCACCTGGCTTGGAGGGTCCTACACCCACGGAGTCTCGCTGATTGCTAGCACAACAGTCTGAGTTTAAACTGCAAGGCAGCAGCGAGGTTGTGGGACCGTCGCCCGCCATTGCCCAGGATTGCTTAGGTAAACAAAGCAGCTGAGAATCTCAAACTGGGTGGAACCCATCACAGCTCAAAGAGGCCTGCCTGCCTCTGTAGGCTCCACCTCTGGGGGCAGGGCACAGACAAACAAAAAGACAGCAGTAACCTCTGCAGACTTAAATGTCCCTGTCTGACAGCTTTGAAGAGAGCAGTGGTTCTCCCAGAATGCAGCTGGAGATCTGAGAACGGGCAGACTGCCTCCTCAAGTGGGTCCCTGACCTCTGACACCCGAGCAGCCTAACTGAGAGGCACCCCCCAGCGGGGGCACACTGACACCTCACACGGCAGGGTATTCGAACAGACCTGGAGCTGAGGGTCCTGTCTGGTAGAAGGAAAACTAACAGAAAGGACATCCACATCAAAAACCCATTTGTACATCACCATCATCAAAGACCAAAAGTAGATAAAACCACAAAGATGGGGAAAAAAGAGAACAGAAAAACTGGAAACTCTAAAAAGCAGAGCACCTCTCCTCCTCCAAAGGAACGCAGTTCCTCACCACCAACGGAACAAAGCTGGATGGAGAATGACTTTGACGAGGTGAGAGAAGAAGGCTTCAGATGATCAAATTACTCCGAGCTATGGGAGGATATTCAAACCAAAGGCAAAGAAGTTGAAAACTTTGAAAAAAATTTAGAAGAATGTAAAACTAGAATAACGAATACAGAGAAGTGCTTAAAGGAGCTGATGAAGCTGAAAACCAAGGCTCGAGAACTACGTGAAGAATGCAGAAGCCTCAGGAGCCGATGCAATCAACTGGAAGAAAGGGTATCAGCGATGGAAGATGAAATGAATGAAATGAAGTGAGAAGGGAAGTTTAGAGAAAAAAGAATAAAAAGAAATGAGAAAAGCCTCCAAGAAATATGGGACTATGTGAAAAGACCAAATCTAAGTCTGATTGGTGTACCTGAAAGTGATGGGGAGAATGAAACCAAGTTGGAAAACACTCTGCAAGATATTATCCAGGAGAACTTCCCCAATCTAGCAAGGCAGGCCAACGTTCAGATTCAGGAAATACAGAGAACACCACACTCCTCGAGAAGAGCAACTCCAAGACACATACTTGTCAGATTCACCAAAGTTGAAATGAAGGAAAAAATGTTAAGGGCAGCCAGAGAGAAAGGTCGGGTTACCCTCAAAGGGAAGCCCATCAGACTAACAGCGGATCTCTCGGCAGAAACCCTACAAGTCAGAAGGCAGTGGGGGCCAATATTCAATATTCTTAAAGAAAACAATTTTCAACAGAGAATTTCATATCCAGCCAAACTAAGCTTCATAAGTGAAGGAGAAATAAAATACTTTACAGACAAGCAAATGCTGAGAGATTTTGTCACCACCAGGCCTGCCCTAAAAGAGCTCCTGAAGGAAGCGCTAAACATGGAAAGGAACAACAGGTACCAGCCACTGCAATATCATGCCAAAATGTAAAGACCATCGAGACTAGGAAGAAACTACATCAACTAACGAGCAAAATAACGAGCTAACATCATAATGACAGGATCAAATTCACACATAACAATATTAACTTTAAATGTGAATGGATTAAATGCTCCAATTAAGAGACACAGACTGGCAAATTGGACAAAGAGTCAAGACCCATCAGTGTGCTGTATTCAGGAAACCCATCTCACGTGCAGAGACACACATAGGCTCAAAATAAAAGGAGGGAGGAAGATCTACCAAGCAAATGGAAAACAAAAAAAGGCAGGGGTTGCAATCCTAGTCTCTGGTAAAACAGACTTTAAACCAACAAAGATCAAAAGAGACAAAGAAGGCCATTACATAATGGTCAAGGGATCAATTCAAGAAGAAGAGCTAACTATCTTAAATATATATGCACACAATACAGGAGCACCCAGATTCATAAAGCAAGTCCTGAGTGACCTACAAAGAGATTTAGACTCCCACACATTAATAATGGGAGACTTTAACACCCCACTGTCAACATTAGACAGATCAACGAGACAGAAAGTCAACAAGGACACCCAGGAATTGAACTCAGCTCTGCACCAAGCGGACCTAATTGACATCTACAGAACTCTCCACCCCAAATCAACAGAATATACATGTTTTTCAGCACCACACCACACCTATTCCAAAATTGACCACATACTTGGAAGTAAAGCTCTCCTCAGCAAATGTAAAAGAACAGAAATTATAACAAAGTATCTCTCAGACCACAGTGCAATCAAACTAGAACTCAGGATTAAGAAACTCACTCAAAACCGCTCAACTACATGGAAAATGAACAACATGCTCCTGAATGACTACTGGGTACATAACGAAATGAAGGCAGAAATAAAGATGTTCTTTGAAACCAATGAGAACAAAGATACAACATACCAGAATTTCCGGGATGCAGTCAAAGCAGTGTGTAGAGGGAAATTTATAGCACTAAATGCCCACAAGAGAAAGCAGGAAAGATCCAAAATTGACACCCTAACATCACAATTAAAAGAACTAGAAAAACAAGAGCAAACACATTCAAAAGCTAGCAGAAGGCAAGAAATAACTAAAATCAGAGCAGAACTGAAGGAAATACAGACACAAAAAACCCTTCAAAAAATTAATGAATCCAGGAGCTGGTTTTTTGAAAGGATCAACAAAATTGATAGACCGCTAGCAAGACTAATAAAGAAAAAAAGAGAGAAGAATCAAATAGATGCAATAAAAACTGATAAAGGGGATATCACCACCGATCCCACAGAAATACAAACTACCATCACAGAATGCTACAATCACCTCTACACAAATAAACTAGAAAATCTAGAAGAAAGGGATAAATTCCTGGACACATACCCTCTCCCAAGACTAAACCAGGAAGAAGTTGAATCTCTGAATAGACCAATAACAGGATCTGAAATTGTGGCAATAATCAAAAGCTTACCAACCAAAAAGAGTCCAGGACCAGATGGATTCACAGCCGAATTCTACCAGAGGTACAAGGAGGAACTGGTACCATTCCTTCTGAAACTATTCCAATCAATAGAAAAAGAGGGAATCCTTCCTAACTCATTTTATGAGGCCAGCATCATTCTGATACCAAAGCCGGCCAGAGACACAACCAAAAAAGAGAATTTTAGACCAATATCCTTGATGAACACTGATGCAAAAATCCTCAATAAAATACCGGCAAAACGAATCAAGCAGCACATCAAAAAGCTTATCCACCATGATCAAGTGGGCTTCATCCCTGGGATGCAAGGCTGGTTCAATATACACAAATTAATAAATGTAAACCAGCATATAAACAGAACCAAAGACAAAAACCACATGATTATCTCAATAGATGCAGAAAAGGCCTTGACAAAATTCAACAACCCTTTATGCTAAAAACTCTCAATAAATTAGGTATTGATGGGACGTATTTCAAAATAATAAGAGCTATCTATGACAAACCCACAGCCAAGATCATAATGAATGGGCAAAAACTAGAAGCATTCCCTTTGAAAACTGGCACAAGACATTGATGCCCTCTATCACCACTCCTATTCAACATAGTGTTGGAAGTTCTGGCCAGGGCAATTACGCAGGAGAAGGAAACAAAGGGTATTCAATTAGGAAAAGAGGAAGTCAAATTGCCCCTGTTTGCAGACGACATCATTGTATATCTAGAAAACCCCATCGTCTCAGCCCAAAATCTCCTTAAGCTGATAAGAAACTTCAGCAAAGTCTCAGGATACAAAATCAATGTACAAAAATCACAAGCATTCTTATACACCAACAACAGACAAACAGAGAGCAAAATCATGAGTCAACTCCCATTCACAATTGCTTCAAAGAGAATAAAATACCTAGGAATCCAACTTAAAGGGGATGTGAAGGGCCTCTTCAAGGAGAACTACAAACCACTGCTCAAGGAAATAAAAGAGGATACAAACTAATGGAAGAACATTCCATGCTCATGGGTAGGAAGAATCAATATCGTGAAAATGGCCATACTGCCCAAGGTAATTTATAGATTCAATGCCATCCCCATCAAGCTACCAATGACTTTCTTCACAGAATTGGAAAAAACTACTTTAAAGTTCATATGGAACCAAAAAAGAGCCCACATCACCAAGTCAATCCTAAGCCAAAAGAACAAAGCTGGAGGCATGATGGTACCTGACTTCAAACTATACTACACGGCTACAGTAACCAAAACAGCACAGTACTGGTACCAAAACAGAGATATAGATCAATGGAACAGAACAGAGCCCTCAGAAATAACGCTGCATATCTACAACTATCTGATCTTTGACAAACCTGAGAAAAACAAGCAATGGGGAAAAGATTCCCTATTTAATAAATGGTGCTGGGAAAACTGGCTAGCCATATGTAGAGAGCTGAAACTGGATCCCTTCCTTACACCTTATACAAAAATCAATTCAAGATGGATTAAAGACTTAAATGTTAGACCTAAAACCATAAAAACCCTAGAAGAAAACCTAGGCATTACCATTCAGGACATAGGCATGGGCAAGGACTTCATGTCTAAAACACCAAAAGCAATGGCAACAAAAGACAAAATTGACAAATGGGATCTAATGAAACTAAAGAGCTTCTGCACAGCAAAAGAAACTACCATCAGAGTGAACAGGCAACCCACAAAATGGGAGAAAATTTTCACAACCTACTCATCTGACAAAGGGCTAATATCCAGAATCTACAATGAACTAAAACAAATTTACAAGAAAAAAACAAACAACCCCATCAAAATGTGGGCGAAGGACATGAACAGGCACTTCTCAAAAGAAGGCATTTATGCACCCAAAAAACCCATGAAAAAATGCTCATCATCACTGGCCATCACAGAAATGCAAATCAATACCACAATGAGATACCATCTCACACCAGTTGGAATGGCGATTATTAAAAAGTCAGGAAACAACAGGTGCTGGAGAGGATGTGGAGAAATAGGAACACTTTTACACTGTTGGTGGGTCTGGAAACTAGTTCAACCATTGTGGAAGTCAGTGTGGCGATTCCTCAGGGATCCAGAGCTGGAAATACCATTTGACCCAGCCATCCCATTACTGGATATATACCCAAAGGACTATAAATCATGCTGCTATAAAGACACATGCACACGTATGTTTATTGTGGCATTATTCACAATAGCACAGACTTGGAACCAAACCAAATGTCCAACAACGATAGACTGGATTAAGAAAATGTGGCACATATACACCATGGAATACTATGCAGCCATAAAAAATGATGAGTTCATGTCCTTTGTAGGGACATGGATGAAATTGGAAATCATCATTCTCAGTAAACTATTGCAAGAACAAAAAACCAAACACCGCATATTCTCAATCATAGGTGGGAATTGAACAATGAGATCACAAGGAAACAGGAAGGGGAATATCCCCCTCTGGGGACTGTTATGGGGTGGGGGTGGGGGGAGGGATAGCATTGGGAGATATACCTAATGCTAGATGACGAGTTAGTGGGTGCAGGGCACCAGCATGGCACATGTATACATATGTAACTAACCTGCACATTGTGCACATGTACACTAAAGCTTAAAGTAAAATAAAAAAAAAAAAAATCTAAAAAAAAACACGAAGATCTGGGAAAAAAAAGAAAATAAATGATATTCAAGCAAATAGATATTTCTAATTCATAAATGGGCATGATTATATTGTTAAATATCAGCATTACAAAAACTGATATACAGATATAATACAACTTCTATTAAAATACCAGTTAAATTCTTCACATAAATGTTTTTTAAAAATCTAAAATTGTATATAGCCCCACAAAAGGCCTTAATAGCTAAGAAAATCAAGCAAAAAATGAAAAATAAAATGCTGAAGGAATCACTCTACCTGACTTTTAAATGTCCAACAAAGCTACAGTAATCAAAACAGAGTGTTACTTACATAAAAATGGACACAAAGGCCAACAGAGCAAAAGGGAAAGATCAGAAATAAATTCATGTATTTACAGACAACTGATTTTAAATAAAGATAACAATTTTTTAAAAAAAAGAACAGTCTCTCTTATAAATGATGTTGAGAAAATATATATCCACATGCAAAATAATAAAATCAGACCTTCATCTCACACCATATATAAAAATTAACTCAAATTAGATACTTAAATATGAGACCTGAAAATCTAAAACTAGGATGAGGAAATAGAGAATGAATGCCCCATAACATTGGTCTGGGCAGTGACTCTTGGGTTTAACCTCAAAATTTTAGGGGGAAATAGACAAATTAGATTCCTTACAATTAAGAAACTGCTGCACACCAACAGATACAATCAGCAGAATGACATAACTGAAAAATGGAAGAAAATATTTGCAAATTACATATGTGAAAAGCAGTTAATATCAAAAATATATAAGAAACTCAAAGGACTATACAACAAAAAACAACCTGAAAAATAAGCAAAAGATCTATA
Source organism: Homo sapiens (assembly GCF_000001405.40). Lineage (NCBI taxonomy): Eukaryota > Metazoa > Chordata > Mammalia > Primates > Hominidae > Homo > Homo sapiens. The sequence continues at coordinate 65,813 of NW_021160024.1, forward strand.
TAAATAATTTTCAAAGAAAGACATACATATAGCTTGGCAGATAGATGAATATGGCTCAAAGTCAATTATCATCAAGGAAAGGCAAACCAAAACAACTCTAAGATATAAACTCTCTCCTGTTAAAATGTTTAAAAAAATTGTTGGTAAACTTGAAAAAAGAGAAAGAGGGAGCTTTCACACTGTTTGTGTCAATGTAAATAAAAACAGCCATTATGAAAAATAGAAATTTTGCAAAACAATTGAACTCTAACATGTAATTGAACTACTGGATATCTATCACAACACAAATGAAACTAGATTGATGAACAGACATCTGCAATTCTGTTTGTTGCAGCATACTTTACAGAAGTGAAAACATAGAATCAACATATGTGTCCATCATCCAATGACGAAATACAGACACTATGGTATATATATACAATCGAATACTGTATTTTCAACAGAAAATGTTATTTTTAATCACAAAAATAAACCTAAAGGACACTATAGTTGTTGAAATAAGGCACAGAAAGTTTAATATCTCATGATTTCACTCACAAGTGGATTCTACAAAACGTATCTTGATTACATAATTATATTTGGATAAGAAAAATAAGTTAAAGAGATTATAATGCATGTATTGTATTTCTGAAAAAATGCTAAGACAGTAAATGTTGTCTTCTCACCACAAAAATAATAACTATGTGAGGCAAAGTATTTGACAATTACCTAAAATTAGACATTGACAATGTATATTTACTTCAAAATACTATTTCACAAAATAAATACATATGTCATCAGTGAATTTAAAAATATATTTATAAACACTATTAAAAATGACAACGTTTCAAATTCTGACCTGTGTTTTTTGTCATAAACCTGTCTAAATAGTATGAAAGATACAGTTTCTGTGCTGTTTTGTCACCTAGTCTGTCATGACCATATGAACTCTAATATTTACCACCATGTTCGGGACCCAGCACAGAGCATGGGAGAAGCCAATGTACCTTAGGGCTTTTATTTTGAGCTTGGGACAACTGGAGTTTCTGGTGCTGGTGGTAATGATAGGGAAGACACAAAAAGGGCAGCTCTTGCTGTGTTTCACATGATTAAACCACTCTGAGGAGAGTAAATAAGTTTGCATCCCAGATCACTGAAGAAATTTTTTAACTCAAAAGATGCCATGATCTTTAAAATTTTTCCAGATAAAATGACCAAAGAGTTGACTAGTTAGGTGACAAAGACGGAAACCTTTAAATTGTAAACTGTACCCAATAAAAAAGTACATTATACAAGTGTGAGAAATTCCTCAAGATTTTAACATTAATATGAAAAAGATTATTTCACAACTGAAATCCACAGGTGTCATTCTATTATTTTTGAATATTTAACATTCACACCAAAATAAAAGATTCTGAATGAAAACTTAAGTTGAGCTGTAAGTATGTAATAAAAAATTAAATTTAACATTCTCCACTTACCATTAACTCTTCTAAAAGTTTAATTTCTAAGACATATCTTCTAACTAATTTTATATTTTCCACACATTGTTAATTTTTTTTTTGAGATGAAGTCTAGCTCTGTCATCAGGCTGGAATGCAGTTGTGCAATCTCAGCTGACTGCAACCTCTGCCTCCTGGGTTCAAGTGATTCTCCTGCCTCAGCCTCCTGAATGGCTAGGTCAACAGGTGCATGCCACCATGCCCAGCTAATTTTTGTATTTTTAGTAGAGATGGGGTTTCACTATATTGGCCAGGAAGGTCTCAACTTCTTGACCTAGTGATTCTCCCACCTCAGCCTCCCAAAGTGCTGGGATTATAGTTGTGAGCCACCACACACAGACTGTGTTAAAATTTAATAAAAGTTTGGTTTTGCAAAGACAAGAAATTCTGACTGATTTATTCCTCTCACCTGTGAACACTGCATGCCTTTTATCTCAATTAACAGATCTGAAAGTTACATTGACAAACTTTCATCAGAACCTACAAAGTTCTGTGTGAAGTGACATGGCAAAAAACAAACAGCGAATAAAGATGTAGCCATAACACAAAGAATAAAAAGAAGGGCAGTGATGCATACACAGTTGGGATAAACATAAGTAGACACACAAAGAAAACTAAAGATAATCAGAAAATAAGCAGAATGTCTCTTTAAATTCAGAAAGAATCAATTTTGCAGCATAAGGACAGTGTCCTCTCCATATACAGAATCGATTTTATTTCTTCACCATGCTTGTTTCTTTATTTTTACTTGGAGCTACAAACTAACTCCAGCAGAAATATTTGTGGCCAATAATGGTGCATCTATTACACAGCAAGCATTGTGTTTGCTATATTTACATATCAAAACATCTTTATGACTTATGAAGCTTCCCCAGTATTTACCTAAACAAATTGGCTGAATGAATAAATTCACCTATGTCAATTATAAAGGGTAAAAGGAACAATAATAAAGGAAACGTAGCTTACACAGGTTTCTCCAATTAAAATAACAAAATGGGATGTTCTAACTAAATGAAATATAAGTTGGTCGGATGCAGTGTCTCATGTCTGTAATCCCAGAACCTTGGCAGGCCAAGGTGGGTGGACCACCAGGTCAGGAGTTCAAGGCCACTCTGGCCATTATAGTGAAACACAGTCTCTACTAAAAATACAAAAATGTTAGCTGGGCATGGTGGCACATGCCTGTAGTCCCAGCTACTTAGGAGGCTGAGGCAAGAGAATTGCTTGGGTCCAGCAGGCGGGGTTGTAGTGAGCTGAGATCCCACTACTGCACTCTAGCCTGGGTGACAGTGTGAGACACCATCTAAAAAAAAAAAAAAGAAAAAAGAAAGCAACAAAAGAAATATAAGTTAATACACACATTGTGAAATAACACTGAAAAATTATTTTGCATGCATTAGTAAATTTTATAAAAATTCTTAAAATACCTGAGCAACTCACATAATGAATACTTAATAAATTATAAACACAAAAAATATGAAAAAAAGTCAGTCTACCATGAGTACCAGGCACATGAAAGAAAGAATTTGCATGGAAAGATTCGGAAACGCAATCCATAAGACTTCACAGTAATGAATTAAATAAAATACAGAGAATACAGATATTATTCAAAATCACTGAGGTTTCTGGTCTTCTAATAAATGATTTGTCCACTTTATTAAAGTGATATTTTGTTCCAATATTTCTTGTCTTGCCCCACAAATTTCTTACACCTAATGTTTATCTTAAGAGTAAAATATTTGTATATTTAGAATCATGTAAGTAAAAAACTAACAGTCTGTATGAGTTTACAGGCAGATAGGCCACTTGTTCAAAATATATATGACCAATTTTTAAAAATATTCATTCAGGACTTAGAAACGTGAGATTTCTTATTATACTACTATGTAATTATTATTATGACCATAAAAAACCTCTGTAGCAAGTAATAATTTACTTGTACATTTTTAAATAACTAAAAATATTTAATTGGATTATCTGTAACACAAAAAAAGCATTACGTAATGAATACCTCATTTACTCTGATGTGATTACAAGTTGTATGCCTGTATGAAAATATTCTATATATGCCATAAATAGGTAAACAATACTATGTTCCTACAAAAATTTAAAATGTTAAACAAATGTACATTTTACCCATTGAAACAATACTCTTAAACTTTTCAGTTTAATGTCACAGGCAAAAGAGATTGCTAGAGAGGTCATTCTACTATGTTACCATCTTTTATCTACATCTTTAATAAGGTGGGACACGTTAAAGTTGGTGACATATGCAGGTCTTAAAAGGTTTAAAACTATTTCGTTTAATTTAAAAGCTAAGTTATCACAGTCTTATAAAAGAATTTTAAAATTCCCTACATTTTATTACATAAAAGTACAATTGGTAAAACAATTTACTACTAAAACTCAAAGTTTTCCTCTCACTATAATGCAGAATATTACTCTAAACACATAACTCATGTATCACATGAAAAATGTTAAAAGTCAGCCATAAAAGCCTCTCCAATTAGATTTTCAATATGCATCTTACATTTTAATATCCTTACTCTTCCACGGAAAAGTTAATGAATGATGCCTACCTAATAAGAAAGGAATCTCTCAGATTTCTGATGCAACAGAAATTGATGACATGCTTTTACACAAACAACAGGAAAAAAGGAACAGAATGAAGCAATTTTATAGTTGAATTACCTCACTATTTGCTTTTCAAAAAATCTACATTTTTTTCAAGGAAAAACGTATACCTTGAATGTAAGTATAACACTACAAAAAATAATCTTCCACTCCTCTTAAACTTATATACAAATAAATTATCCAACAGTTTTAGCTTTGGATTACTTTCTATACGGAACATTCTGATTTAGTGTAACATCTTAAGTGCCAGTGCCTTAATTCTTCCTACTGTGAATTTTCTAAAGTTTACGAAGACTTAATTTTGACTAAATATTTTTACACATGTATTCCATCTGCAAAAATATCTTTTATTATAAACTGCGTGGTGTTTTTAAGCTGTAGTTTCTGAACAAATGTTTTTCCACATTTATTACATTTGTATGTTTTCCTTCAACATAAATTCTCTGAGGCTGAACAAGTTTGAGTAATTCCTTTAGAGTTTTCTTCTAGCATAAAATCTGTACATTATATATGGCAAGTAAAGGTATTACAACCCTCTTTATATTTGTAATGTTTGTCTCCAGAGTACTCTTTTTTACTTTAAAGATTTAAATTTTCCAAGGTCTTTCAAAAGTAATTACATTTATAATAATTTTATTAAGTATGAACTTCCTGATGTTGACTATGATGTGAGCAAATAGAAATGGCTTTTCCACACTCTGTATAATTTTTCAAGTATAAACCCTTTTATGTGCCATAAGGTATGAGCATGTTAGAAGTTTTGACACATTCTTTGTTTGCAGAGATTTTCTCCACTATCAATTATTTTACCTACAGTAAGATATGACAACCATTTAAAGGCCTTGCCACATTGTTCAGTTTTCTGAGGTTTCTCACTGATATTTCTCCAATGCTTAGGAAAGTTTGAGGTGTATTCATAAGCTTTGCCAAACTTCTTTAGGTTCATAGGCATAATCTTTAGTATGAATTATGGCTGGATATATTTGAGCAATACTTAAAAGATTTTGCCACAGTCTTCCAATTTGTATGACTTCTTTCCAGTATGAATTCTCATGAGTTTAGTAAGGCTAAAGGACTGGTTAAAGTCTTTCCCACATTCTTTACATTTGTGGGATTTCTCTTCAGTATGAACTCTCTTATGTCGAGTAAACTTGATCAACAAGAAAAAGTTTTGCCACATTCTTGACATTTGTAGGGTATCTCTCCAGTATGTACTCTCTTATGTTTAGTAAAGCTTAAGGACCAGTAAAAGGCTTTGCGACATTCTTCACATTTCTGGATTCCTCTCCAGTATGAATTCTCTTATGTAAAGTGAGGCCTGAAGACTGCTTAAAAATCTTTGCCACATGATTCATATTTGTAGGTTTTCTCTCCAGTATGATTTCTCTTATGTTCATTCAGTTTTGAGTAGTGTTTAAAGACTCTGACACATTCTTTGCATTTATAGGGTTTCTCTTTAGTACGAATTCTCTGATGTATAGTAAGCTCAGAGGAGCACTTAAAAGCTTTGCCACATTCTTCACATTTGTACAGTTTCTCTTCAGTATGAACTATCATATGCTTAGTAAGGCTTGAGGAATAGTAAAAGTCTTTGCAACATTCTTCACATTTGTAGGATTCCTCTCCACTATGAGTTATCTTATGTTCTTTCAGTTTTGAGGATAGTTTAAAGACTTTGCCACATTCTTCATATCTGTAGGGTTTCTCTCCACTATGAATTATCTTATGTACATTCAGGTCTAAAGACTTCTTAAAAGCTTTGCCACATTCTTGACATTTGTAGTGTTTCTCTTCAGTATGAACTATGTCGTTTTGAATAAGGTTTGAGGAACAGTAAAAGGCTTTGCCACATTTTTCACAATTGTATGGTTTCTCTCCAGTATGAATTCTCTTATGTATAGTAAGATTTGAAGACCCTTAAAAGATTTGATGCATTCTTGACATTTGTAGTGCTTCTCTCCAGTATGAACTATCTTATGTTTAGTAAAGCTTAAGGACCAGTAAAAGGCTTTACCACATTCTTCACATTTGTAGGGTTTCTCTTCAGTATGAATTCTTTTTTGTATAGTAAGCCCCAAAGACCGCCTACAAGCTTTGCCACATTCTTCGCATTTGCAGGGTTTCTCTCCTGTATGAATTCTCTTGCGTATGGTAAGGTTTGAAGACCACTTAAAAGCTTTGCCACATTCTTGACATTTGTAGGGTTTCTCTCCCCTATGAATTATCATATGTTTAGTAAAGATTAAAAACCAATAAAAGGCTTTATCACATTCTTCGAATTTGTAAGGATTCTCTCCAGTATGAATTCTCTTATGTAGAGTAAGGCCTGAAGGTTGCATAAAAGTTTTGCCACATTCTTCACATTTGTAGGATTTCTCTCCGGTATGAGCTCTCATATATTCGTTCAGTTTTGAGGATTGTTTAAAGGCTTTGCCACATTCTTCACATTTGTAGGGTTTCTCTCCACTATGAATTCTCTGATGTATAGTAAGGTTCGAAGACCACTTAAAAATTTTGCCACAATCTTTACATTTGTAGGGTTTGTCTCCAGTATGAACTATGTTATGTTGAGTAAGGCCTGAGGAATAGTAAAAAGCTTTGACACATTCTTCACATTTATAGGGTTTCTCTCAAGTATGACTTCTTTTATGTTCTTTCAGTTTTGAGGATTTTCTAAAGGCTTTGCCAAATTCATCACATTTGTAGGGATGCTCTCCCATATGAATAATCTTATGTATAGTCGGGTTTGAAGACTACTTCAAAACTTTGCCACTTTCTTCACTTTTGTAGGTTGCATCTCCAGTATAAATTTTCTTATGTTTATTCAGTTTTGAAGATTGTTTAAAGGCTTTGTCACATTCTTCACACTTGTAGGGTCTCTCTTTAGTATGAATTCTCTCATGTATAGTAAGATCTGAAGACTGCTTAAAATCTTTGCCACATTCTTCACATTGGTAGGGGTTCTCTTCAGTATGAATTATCTGATGTTGTCTTAGGCGTGAGAACCTGTGAAAGAATTGGCCACATTCTTTACATTTGAAAGGTTTCTCTCCAGTATGTCTTCTCCTAGGTCTATTTGAATTTGAAAATTTCCTAAAGACTTTCACACATGTATTACATTGAAGTATTTTGCTCTGAGTAATCGACAAACATTGGTTAAGTCCATTATAACCTCCTTCCTGCACCTTAGATGCATTCAAACTTTTACAGCCTTTTCTTATTTGTAAATTCTCATGTCTGCATTTCCCATATCTTCTCAGCATCACTTTTTGAAATGAATTTTTTGTGTTCTGATCTAGCCAAAGGTCTTGGGTGAAATGAGAACACAGCTGAAAGAAATAAAAATAACAAATTATCTCACTAGGCCCATGTAAATATACAAATCTATTGTTTACAAATCTAATACATAAAATTAAACAAAGTACATTAGCAACATGGCATAAGAAAAATACCACAGGTCTTAATTCTTTTATAGACTTATAACAAAACTGTCCTGACCAAAATGTGTTTATGGAAAATCTAGAAATGAGTTCAGTGTGTTCAGTGTACCAGGTGAGCAAAATGCCACAAGCCATACTGAATGGATAGAAAAGTTTGTTACATTTGCCCAACACCTTTCTTCCTCCATAATGCAGCATGGCACTTTTAGAAGTAAATTGCAAGGCCTGCCATCTTCCTCAATATAGAAAAAGAAAAAACTGGCTCATGTATTTTTACTTCTGGCTTCTGGGCACTTTTACAGAGACTTGTTTCTGTCTCCAATGACAAAATGTGCTGAAAGAAATGATGGTATACTTTGAAATAACAGCTTGAGTCTGCTGAGACCAAAGGTAAATGTTACAGACACAAACTACAGTACCACAGACATGCAATATGTATAGGAAGTAATTACAGACTGTTAAGAAACACAGACAAACCCCTTTAACTGAATAATCAACACAAAATTCCACACAAGACACATCATAACAAATTTGATAAGCTCCCAGAATCTCTAGTTGAGACAGCTGGTTTCAGATTATGTTAGGACAACACTGCATTATAAAGATTGTGAGAGGTAGCTGTTTGTTAATGTCCAAATCTCAACCAAAGAGTACAATACATACAAAATATTACAGTGACATGGCCTAAGTAGAAAAAAAAACTTAAAACTGTCAGAAAACAACCATGAAAATAAAGATGTACACATTAATTTTAAAAATTTAACCTAAATGGGAACACAGGTAACTAAATAAAATTAAAAAAAAAATAGAATATCAAGGAAAAGATGAAAAATATAATAGAGATTATGGAAGTAGAAAATAGAAATAGAAATAATGACTGAGGCCAGGTGTAGTGGCTCATGTCTGTAGTCCCAGCACTTTGGGAGTTTGAGGCAGGCAGATCACTTGAACCTAGGGATTTCAAGTTTAAACCGGGAAACATGGCAATATTTCTTCTCTATAAAAATTAAAATTAGTCAGGTGTATTGGCACACACCTGTGGTCCCAGTAAACATGAGGCTGAGGTAGGAGGATCACATAAGCCTAGAGAATCCAAGGCTGCAGTAAGCTGCAATCATGCCACTGTACTCAAACCTGGGTGACAGAGCAAGACACTGTCTCAAAAAATTAAGAATACCTGAGAAATTCTCAAAAGTAAGAAAATAAGGTTGTAAAAATGAAGAAGCTCAACATACTAAAACTAGGAAACACACAGATCCATAACAAGACCTGTAAAGCAAAGTTCCCAAAGTCACAGGCAAGAAGAGAATCTCAAATGCTGGAAAATACATAATTATGGTTCTATGATATAACCAGTGACTCTTTCAACAAAAACCTTGCAGGCCAGAAGGAAATTGTGTGCTATAGCCAAGGTGCCAAATGAAAAATAGCTTCTATGTAAGAATAATATAACCAGCAAAACTGTGCTACAAACATGAAGAAAAAGGAAAGACTTCTAAAGATAATCAAATGTGGAAAAATTATATCAACACTACATGTGCCCTACAAAAAATGCTGAGAAGAGTCCTCCTACTAAAACTATACGATGCTAAAAAACAAAACTATCATATACAAATAGGTAGCTTTCTAGGAAAGATATAAAGATATGCAAATATTATAGAAAAAATATCCTGTAGCATTACTATAATACCAGAAAATGTTTTATTTAATTATTCTCTAAAATTAAAAGATAAAAGCTAAAAATAATAATGAACATCTGTTAATAAATATATAATATAAATAGATATGTTTAGTGACATCAATAACTAAGTTGAGGACAGATGTAATAAGAAATAATTTGTGCAGGAACCCGAATTTAAATTTCACCACTTCAAAATATATTGTTCAAATTTTAAGAAGTTTTTATATAATCCTGAAGGTGCCCACAAAGAAAATGTCTGTATAGGTACAAAAAAGAAAATAAGAAAGGAGTGACAGCCTATCCCTACAAAAATCAAAAAGACACAAAGGAAGATAGAATGAGAAACAGACCTACAAGAATCATTAAACAATAAAATAACAATAATCTTTGTCTTCAGAAAATAAATATTTTAAAAATAGACTTGCCAATCAATATACATACATTGAATAGAAGGATTATATAAAATTTTATATACCAAGATCCAACTTGCCTTTCTTCAAGAGTCACTTGAGATCTAGTAGCGAAATCAGCCTGAAAGTGGCAAGTGGAAGAAGACATTTTAGGCAAACATTAACCAAATGACAGCAGAAGAGATCAAAATTGTATCATACAAAATACATCGTAAGTCAATCTCTTATTTTATAAAATATACTTTATCTCAAAATTCACAAGAGAAAAAAGGTCATTAAACAATAATAAAGATATCATTTATTGAAAATGTATGACAAATATGTACATACATATATTTATATGTTTGTGTGTGTATGTGTATTTCTCACATTAGGTTTCCAAAAATACAAAGCAAAAATTGAAAGAATTAAAGCAACAAATAGAGAGCAATATAATTATAATAAGATATTTTAAAATTTCAATTTCTGCAATGAACAATAAAACAAGCAATATTAATAATGGAAAAGAGGGCCAGGTACAGTGGCTCATGCCTGTAATCCCAGCACTTTGGGAGGCCAAGGCAGGCAATCACGGGTTCAGGAGATGGAGACCATCATGGCTAACATGATGAAATCCGGTCTCTACTAAAAATACAAAAAATTAGCAGGGCGTGGTGCCAGGTGCCTGTAATCCCAGGTACTCAGGAGGCTGAAGCAGGAGAATGGCATGAACCCAGGAGGCGGAGCTTGCAATGAGACGAGATCGCACCACTGTACTCCAGCCTGGGTGGGAGCAAGACTCTGTCTCAAAAAAAAAAAAAAAAAGGAAAAGAGAAACTGAAAGCAGTACAGATGGGAACAAGTGGCTCATGCTTGTAATTCCAGCACTTTGGGAGGCCAAGGAAGACAGATTACCTGAGGTAAGGAGTTTGAGACCAGCCTGGCCAACATGGCAAAACCTCATCTCTACTAAAAATAACCAGGTGCGGTAGCAGGTGCCTGTAATCCCAGCTACTCAGGAGGCTAAGGCAGGAGAATTGCTTGAACCAGGGAGGCGGGGTTTGCAGTGAGTCGAGATTGCGGCACTGCAATCCAGCCTCAGCGACAGAGCAAGACTCCATCTCAAAAAGAAAAAAAATATACAAAGAAAGAAGTATAAAACAATATTATGCCTAACAAAGAACACCCCTTAAAAATAGCAGGGTACAACCATTCTCAGTAGCTCACATACATTCTCTTTGATAAACTGCCTGTTAGGCCATGATAAAAATAAAAACTTACTAAATCTTTAAAAATTGAAATTGATAGATTACTTTTTATGACCAAAATGGAATGAGAGTAGAAATCAACAAAAACAGAACTAAAAAATTTACAAATACATGAAAATTAAACAACACACTCTTCAGCATGCTCAAAGGGTAAAATAATTAATATTCAGCATGATCGAAGGGTAAAATAATTAATATTGTGAAGATGCCCATACTGCTCAGTGTAATCTACAGATTTAATGCAATCCCTTTCAAATATCTAATTTTATTTTAGCAGAAATAGAAAAAGCAACCCCCAAATTATATGAAATTTTAAGAAACAATGAAACACCCAATAATCCTCAAAGAGAGGAACAATGTTGGAGGCATCACAACTCCCTGATTTCAAAACACATTATATAGACTTAAAACCATTTGGTTTGGTTATAAAAAGTGAACTAGACCAAATAAAGAGAATGTAGTATAAATATAAACTCTCACACATATAATCACAGGAAGAGTTATTTGCACATCTATAATTTTTTTTTTAGATGGAGACTTGCTCTGTTGCCCAGGTTGGAGTGCAGTGGCACAATCTAGGCTCACTGCAACCTCTGCCTCCCAGGTTCATGCCATTCTCCTGCCTCAGCCTCCCAAGTAGCTGGGACTGTAGGTGTCCGCCACCACGCTTGGCTAATTTTTTGGTATTTTTAGTGGAGATGGGGTTTCACCATGTTAGCCAGGATGGTCTCGATCTCCTGACTTTATGATCCACCCACCTTGGCCTCCCAAAGTGCTGTGATTACAGGCACGAGCCACCGCGCCTGGCTGCACATCCATAATTTTTACAGCATTGTTATTGACAGGCAATAGGTGAAAGCAATGCATATTTTTCTTGCCAGACTACTGGATAAATATAATTTGAAACATAAAAATAATGGAATATTACTCAGTGTTTAAAAACAGGAAATACAAGCCAGGCACACTGGTTCACACCTGTAATCCCAGCACACTGGGAGGCCGAGGTGGGTGAATCACCTGAGTTTGGGAATTCGAGACCAGCCTCACCAACATGGAAAAACCCCATCTCTACTTACAAAAATTAGCCAGGCATGGTGGTGCACGCCTGTAATCCCAGCCTCCTCTCAGGAGGCTGAGGAAGGAGAATGGCTTGAACTTGGGAGGTGGAGATTGTGGTGTGCTGAGATCGCTGCACTGCACTCCAGCCTGGGCAACAAGGGCGAAACTCCGTCTAAAAAAAAAGGAAATATTCTAACAACCATAACAAACTTTCATGAAATTATGCAGAATAACATATGTCAGCCACAAAAAATGCTGTATGAATCCACTTACATGAGATATTTAAAGCAGTTAGACTCAAAAACAGCAAAACAGAATTGTTTGTAAAGGGCCAGAAAATGGGAGAAATGAGTAGTTGTTTAATGTGTATTCAGTTTTAGTTTTGTGAGACAAAAACATTCTAGAGATATATTATATAATAATGTCAATATAATTAATATACACTACATATTTTAACATTAAGATTCTAAATTTTATGTTCTTGATAATTAAAAATAAACAGTAATGATACCTAAAAAAGGACAAAATTGACAGTTTTTAAAATTACCTTCAAATCAAAAAAGTGTTTCTCCCACACCAAAATAGATTCCTAAATAGATATTAGAAGTAGGAGAATTTTTATGATTACACAGATAAAATGACCATTGATCACTCACAAACATACAAGTCATAAACAATACAGAAATAATATGTGTATACACAAACACAGAAATTATTATATTGGGAATAGACATATGACTGATTCATATGTAACTTTGGCTCCATGCTGTCTTAAAGTGTACAGAGTTGAATACTGTCATTCACAATTGTCATACAAAATAAAAAACTAAAAACACAATTATCTGATGTGACGTGGCATACTCTAAAATATGAAACAAAAAAGAAATAAAATTGGCTGGGCATGGTGGCTCAAGCCTGTAATCCCAGCACTTTGGGAGGCTGAGGCAGGCGGATCACGAGGTCAGGAGATCGACACCATCCTGACTAACACGGTGAAACCCCATCTCTACTAAAAAATACAAAAAAATTAGCTGGGCATGGTGACGGGCACCTGTAGTCCCAGCTACTAGGGAGGCTGAGGCAGGAGAATGGCGTGAACCTGGGAGGCGGAGCTTGCAGTGAGCCGAGATTGTGCCACTGCACTCCAGTCTGGGCGACAGAGCAAGACTCTGTCTCAAGAAAAATGAAATAAAATAAAGTAAAATGAAATAAAATTGCAAAACAAAATGAAAACATGGAATGTTAAACTTACTGAACACCATTAAGTAGATTACTACATTTGGAAAAGAAATCTTAGAAGATGAATGTAGGGAAAAAGTAGTAGAGGGGTTATTTGAAGATAAAAGAGGATGAGAATTTTCCAAATTTTTATGTGATAAAAGAAAAACTAATACCAATCAATACTGTTTGCTTTGAAATTATTTGGAATTATTCTGGAACTAAAAATAAGGAAACAATAAAGAACTTACAAAATAAACAAAATGTGAAGGCATTTCTCATCACCGGCATGGTCCCACAAGAAATGCTACATGGTGGCCAGGCACCAGTGGCTCATGTCTGTAATCCCAGAGTCTTGGGAGGCCAAGGCAGGCAGATTAGTTGAGGCTAAGAGTTCAAGATGAGCCTGAGTAACATAGTGAGATGCTGTTTTTTTTTTTTTTTTTGCCAAAAAGTGTCCATATGTTGAAAAATATAATGGTGCTGAACAGCCTTAAAAAACTACATGAAACTATAAAGCTTTCTGTTAAATGTAAATATATAAACACATATACAATGGTTTATTACCATAATCATGAAGCAAAATCTCTTAAAATTCTACTATAGAATTTCAACAAAAAAATCTGCATAAATCTGTTAATAGATACACAATATAAAATAATATTTGTAATAATAAAAAAACTACAGGATGTAAGCCTGGGCACAATGGCTCATGCCTGTAATCCCAGCACTTTGGGAGGCCAAGATAGGTGGATCATGAAGTCAGGAGTTCAAGACCAGCTTGGCTAAGATGGTGAAACCCCGTCTCTACTAAAAATATGAAAAATTAACCAGTCGTGGGGATGGGTGCCTGTAATCTCAGCTACTTGGGAGGCTGAGGCAGAGCATTGCTTGAACCTGTGAGGCGGAGGTTGCAGTGAGCCGAGATCACACCACTGTACTCCAGCCTGTGTGACAGAGCAAGTCTCCGTCTCAAAAACAAAACAAAACAAACAAACAAAAAAACACTACGGCATGTAAAGAGGTATAGTTTTTGTATTCAACTGAAGTTATGACATACTAATATTGTTATAACTTTAAAATGTTTTACATAATCTCCAATTACCTAGATAATTACAAGTTTATAGAAAGTATGCAATACAAAATGAGAAAGGAAACAAAGCATAACACTACAAAATCAAAAAAGCAAAAATTAAGACAGTAAAATAGGAAATTATGGAAAACATCTCTACAAGAAACACAGAAAATAATAACAATCAAAATGGTAATAGTAGCTTCATTTCTCTAAGGAATCATTTTAAATGTAAATTGATTAAACTAATAATAAGAAATTAAATGGATGAATGGAATAAGAACAAACAAAATCACACAATATGCAACAAATCACACAATATTCTTGTTTGAACTTGGTGTACTCTGTTAGGACACATAACAAGCCTTATTAAGTTTAAGAAGACTAATCAGGTATGGTGGCTCACGTCTGTAGCCCCAGCACTTTGAGAGGCCAGGACTGGAAGATTGCTTGAGACCAGGATTTCAAGAGACTCACTTTAACTTTGATTCAAATAGGTTGAAAGAAACAGAATGAAAAAACATATTCCATGCAAACAGTATCCACAATTAAGTGAGGTGGTCATAATTATATTAGACAAAATACGCTGTAAATCAAAAACTAACATGAGGTAAAGATTGTTACTATATAATGGTAACATTGGTCATTTACCAGGAATCTATAACTATTATATCTATTTAAAAGATCAGGGTTCCAAAATGTATAAAGCTAATATTGACAGAAGTGAAGCAAAAAACACATAGCAACATAATAATTACAGACATTAAGACCCCACTTTAATAATAAGTGAAAGGTTAGATAAAACATCAATAAGAGAACAAAACCTGGATGACATTATAAATTATATTAATTCATTTTGTATTGCAATAAGTACCTAAGACTGTGTAATTTATAAAGAAAAAAGATTTATTTTCTTCATAGTTATGCACAATGCACAAGTGTGGTGCCAGCATCTGCATCTGGTGAAGGTCTAAGTAAGCTTACAATCATGGTGAAGGCACAGAGAAACCAGACATATTGCATAGGGAGAGAGGGAGCAAGCATGAAAAGAAAGTGCCAGGTTCTTTAAACACGCAGCTCTCATGTGAATTAACAGAGTGAGAACTCATTGGTCACCAAGGGGATGGTGTGAAGTCATTTACAAGAGATTTGCTCCCATGACCCAAACACACCACACAAGGATCCACATCCTACATTGGGAATCCCATTTCAACATGAGATTTGAAGGGTACAAACATCCAAATCATATCATAGACCAACTACACATTAAAAATATGTACAGGACTCTCCAGTAAAAAGGAACAGATTACACAATATTCTTGTTTGAGCTTGGTGCATTCTGTTAGGACACATAACAAGTCTTATTAAGTTTAAGAAGACCAGCCAGGTGTGGTAGCACATGCCTGTAGCCCCCAGCACTTTGGGAGGAAAGACCACTTGAGACTAGGATTTCAAAACCAGCCTGGGCAATATAGTGAGAACCCGCATTTCTACAAAAAATAAAAAAACTAGCCAGGCATGAAAGCACACGTATGTAGTCCCAACTATTTAGGATGCTGAGGTGGGAGGATTATTTGAGCCTCGGAGGTTGAGGCTGCAGTGAGCCAAGACTGTACCACTGCATTCCAGCCTGAGTGGCACAGAGAGAATCTGTCTCTCAATAGCAACAAAAATAAATAAATAAATTTAAGATGACCAAACTTTTACAGTTACGTTTTCTGACTAAAATAAAATGAAAGGACATCAAAATCAAGAGATAAACTGGCAAATTCAAAAATACATGGAAATAAAACACACTCTTTAATATATTCTTGCTCAAGGTCCAGATAATTTAATCTAAATGTGAAAACAACTCACGGTGATGAAGAAATTCCAATGGTACATTGTTGACCAGAAATATTGTTTAAAACTTTTTAAATTGATTATGAGCTAAAACTAGCCAAACAACCATTAGAAAGAACAAAGAGGCATTGTATTCCCTGATTTCAAAATATATTAAAAAGCTATAATAAACAAAAGCAATGTGGTACTAACAGAGACAAATAAACAGATGATAGAACAAAATAGCCCAGAAATGAACCCTTCTTTATATAATCAAATAATCTTCCACAAAGTTGCCATGACTACACAATAGAGAAAAGAAAAATCTCTTCAACAAATGATGTTAAAAACTGAGTATCTACACTGAAAAAAATAAAGTTGGATTATTTTCTTCCACATTTTAAGTAAAATAATGAAACTAAAAAACATATAACTAATACAACTCTTAGAAGAAAAAATAGGGAAAATACAGAACACTGGTTTTGGCAATTTTTTGTAGATATGACATCATACTTATGAAAAACATAAAAACCCCCAAAATTTAACTATGCTAAACTTCAAGTTTTCTGCACACCAAAGAAAATATTTAGTAGAATGACAATGCCACTGAAGAAATGGGTGAAAATATTCACAAATTACATGTGATGAGTTAATATTCAGAATTATAAACAACTAAAATTGAACAACTAACATTGAATAAATTGATTTAGAAATGCACAAAGAATAGAACTGATGTTTAATAAAAAATATATATGTAAGTAGAAAAAAGCACTTAAAATAATGCAAAAAAAGTACCAATTGTAGAGAAATACAAAACAAAATTAC
Organism: Homo sapiens; assembly: GCF_000001405.40. Lineage (NCBI taxonomy): Eukaryota > Metazoa > Chordata > Mammalia > Primates > Hominidae > Homo > Homo sapiens. The sequence continues at coordinate 82,701 of NW_021160024.1, forward strand.
AATCCAAAACAAAACCACCTCATACCCATTAGAATGGCCATGATAAATTTTTAAAATGCCAAATCTGTTGAGGATGTAAAGAAATTAAAACTCTTGTGAATGGTTGGTGGGGGAAAAAAGGATGCAACCATCATATTATGAATGTTTCTTAAAAATTAAATTACATAATTCAGGAATTCCATTTATAAACCTATATTCAAATATAAATCATATTATTTGATTGGAATATAAAATATATTTTTATATATTAATATATTTATAAATTGAATCCAAGAATTCCACTTATAAATCTATATTCAAACATAAATATAAATGTATATTCCAAATACAAATCTATATTCAAACAAAGAACCTGGAAGATATACTTGAATATATATTTGAAATATTGGTATAATAAATATATGATACCAATATTTATATATTTAATATATATTAATATAATACATATTAACTATATTATACCAATATTTATATATTTTATATATACTAATATAATATATATTAAATAAATAAATATATATTATATAAATAAATATATATTTAATATATATGTTAAATATATAAATATTGGTATCATATATTTATTATACCAATATATTATATAAATATATACACATATATTTATATATATACTATATATATAAATATACCAATATTTACAAAAACCAGAAGGCAGAAGTAACCCAGATATCCCTTGACTGATAAACAAATTAAAAATGTGACATATACATACAGTGTAATATTATTAAGCCTTAAAATAGTAAATCTGTCACATTCTTAAATAAATGTTGAGAATATTATGTCAACTGAAATAAGATAGTAATAAAGTGACAGATACTATATGATTCCATGATATGAGTCATCATAAGTAGTGAAATAGAAACAGAAAAGAGAATGGTGTTACTCAAGGTCTAAAGAGAGGGTAAAATGGGCAGTTGTTACTTAATGGGTATTGTTTTAATTTTAGAAGACGTAAAAGTTCTAGAGGTCTTTACATAACAATGTAAATACTCTTAACAACTACAATGTACAACTTTTTTGAGGTAGGTTCTCACTCTGTCTTGCAGGCTAGAATGAAGTCACATAATCATAGCTCACTGCAGCCTCAACCTCCCATGCACAAGTGATTCTCCTGCCACGGCCTCACAAGGAGCTAGGACCACAGGTGGACAACCCAACACCTGGCTAATTTTAAATTTTTGTGGGGAAGGGCTCTTTATATGCTGCACAGGCTGGTCTCAAGTTCCTCGGTTTAAGCAATACTTCTGCCTCAGTTTCCCAAAGTGCGGGCATTATAGGCATGAGCCTCCACCACACTCAGCTCTGAAATATAGACTTAAAAAGATTTAAGATGGTAAATTTTATGTTATGTGTTTTCACAATTTTTTTTGAAAACAACTACAAGTTATATAGGTCTTTCTATAAATCACAAAATATATAAATATAAATCACCATCAAATCACTAAAGTGTTTCTCTCACAGAAAGAAAATATATATATTTATCATTAAACACCTGGTGAATATACCACTGTTTCTATGACTACCCACCTTCACATAATAAGACAACTATTGAAAATCAGCCAAGAAGGCTGGGCATGGTGGCTCACTCCTGTAATCTCAGAACTTTGGGAGGCCGAGACAGGTGGATCACCTGAGGTCAGGAGGTAGAGATCACCCTGGCCCATATGGTGAAACCCCATCTCTACTAAAAATACAAAAAAATTAGCTGGGCATGGTGACAGGCACCTATAATCCCAGCTACTCAGGAGGCCAAGGCAGGAGAATTGCTTGAACCTGAGAAGCGGAGGTTGCAATGAGCAAAGATTGTGCCACTGCACTCCAGCTGGGCCTCTACTGTGGCCTGCAGACCTTGGCCTCTACTGTGGCCCCTAAAGGAGTTCAGTGACTCAGTTTCAGCTGTCTTTGCCACAGTTCACAACAATTCCTGCCAACACAGGAACCCACACAGTGATGTGGAAAAAATCTTTCAAATACTCAGTGGTAGCCACACTTACCACATCCCGATATAAGGTCCACCATATGCACACCCAATTGCAGAAATCTGTCCTAATTTCTGCACTATAAATAAAAGTCCTGAAGGAAATCCAGCCCACCCAGACATTAGATGGGAATCACAACAACCAAAGCCCCTGGTAAAAAGCCACTTGAAAGTTGAATCCACTGCATACCCAGCAGCCTTGTGACAAAGTTATAAACTCTTCCCTACTACAAGCTCATAGGGCATCCCATTACCCTGGGGACCCATTACCCTGGGGACCCAACAAAAGGAGATCTGTACCTCCTGAAACCAGTTTATAAAAAATTAAAGAGCTGTTTGCTTCTTCAAATTTATAGACACCGGGGTAAGGCTACATGGTTCCATTGTAAATGTTTCTATTTTAACATAGCAGTGAAAGTACTTTGCAGAAGAATTAGTCAAGAAAATGACCCTAAAAATGACATTCAAATTGAGGAAAAGAATTAAAATGTTGCTGTTTGTAGGTGACATGATCTTATATATAGAAAACCATAAACAATACATCAAAAACTAACAAATGCCCTCAGAAAATTAGCAATATATAAAATTAACATATAATTATCAGTTATGATTCTATATGCTAACAACAAACCATCTGATAAAAAAGGAAGAAAACAATCTTATTTCCAATAGAATTAAAATAATAAATTTCTGAAAAATGAATTTAACAAAGGAGGCAAAATGTCTTTACACTGAAACATATTGTGAAAGAAATGGAAGAAGTCACAAATAAACGCAAAAAGATTTCATGTTTATGAACTGGAAGAATAAATATTATAAAGTGCCATATGAGTCAAAGTGATCTACAGTTTCAATGAACTCTCTATTAAAAATCCAGCGACATTTTTCACGGTAATGGAAACTACAATTCTAAAATTTGCATGAAAGTACAATAGGCTTTGAAAAACCAAAGCAATCTAGAGGAAAAGGAACAAAGCAACCAAACTTCATACTTTATGATTTCAAACTATATTTTAAGATTGTAGTACATGCAAAATATGGACACAAGAAAACAAAGAAACAGAATAGAGCCCAGAAACAAACCCAGGAATATAAAGTTTACTAATCTTTGACAAGTGCACCAGAAATACACAATGAACAATGTATAGTCTTTTTAATATTTGGTTCTGAAAAAACTGGATACCTCCAGGCAAAAGAATAAAATTAACTTATTTTTCTTACACCATGCTAAAAGTTAAATTACAGACTTAAATATGAATCCTTAAAAAATCTGAAAGAAAAATACATGGAAAATCCTCATGATATGGTCTTAACAATAATTTGTTAGACATAATACCAAAAGTACAGCAACGAAAGCAAATATAAACAAGCTGGACTGCATCAAACTAAAAACCTTCTGCACAGAAAAGGGAAGAATAAAATAAAAAAATTTGTAGCATGGGAAAAAATATTTGCAAACCATACATCTGATAAAAGATTGATATACAAAATATATAAGAAATGCAAGCAGATTAAAAGGAAAAACAACAGTAACCCAGTTCAAAATAGGCAAAAAACTAAACTGATATTTGTCCAATGAAGACATACAAATGGCCAACAGATAAGCCATAAAGTACTCAATATCACCAAATATCAGGCAATTGCAAATCAAAACCATGATGAGTATCATTTCAAACATGTTAGAATGGATAATATAAAAAGAAGAAACATAACAAGTGTTGACAACACTTTGAAGAAAAAAAATTCTGTACATTCTTGGAGAGTTATAAATTGATGGAGTCATTACAAAAACCAATAGAGGTTATCTGAAATACAGAACTACTACACAACCTAGCAATAGTAGTATTGTGTATATAATACTGTTTATATAACAAAAGGAAATGAAATAAGTAACTTGAAGACATATCTGTACCACCATATTTGTTGCAGCATTATTCACAATTGCCAAGATACAAAAAAACTAAATGTTTGTGGATGCTGAATAAAGAAAAGCTGGTGTAAATAAACAATAGAATATCATTTAGCTTGAAAAATAACAAAATCTTGCCATTTCAACAACATGGGTAGAACTAGAAGACATTATGCCAAGGGAAATAAGCCAGACACAGAAAGAGAAATACTGCACATTCTCACTTATATGGGGAATCTAAGAAAGCTGAACTCACAGAAGCAGAGACTACAATGGAAGTTGTCAGGGACTGGATATGGGAGAAAATGAAAAGATGTTGAAAAGACACAAATTTTCTTTTATGAGTAAGTTTTTCAAATGTAATATATAGCTTCATGATACAGTTAACACTAAATTTTTGTATGCTTAAAATTTGATGTCAGCAGATCTCAGATATTTTCATTACAAGAAAGGTACCTATGTGAGGAAAGGTGATAGAAATGCTCATAAACATAATTGTGTTCATCATTTTACAATCTACACATGCAGTAAGTCATTACGTTGTACACAATAAATATATATAGAATTTTTATTTGTAAAAAAATCCACAATACACACCTACATATATGTACACACATATAAATTACAGTTCTGGTAGACTTTATCCTAAACAAGATAAAATTACAAAATAGTAATTTAAAAAACAAGGAAAGAAGTGGGAGCTTAACATATGCTCAGTAATGTTCTAAGTTCCCTGACATAGTGAATTGAAGAAATGTAGGAAATATCTACGTTATATTACAGTTGAGAAATTAAGACAGAATTGAAATTACTAACCTCAGTTAGTACTACAAGAATAAAAATTTCAATTCAAATAACATTAGATATTCTTAAAGAGATACTTAATATTCTGATTAAATTACCGAGCATGAATTTCTGTAGAAACACATTTGAAACCTCCATAAAATAAGAAACTATGAAGCAGAAAACATACAACATATGTTTGTTGTATTTCTGGGATTTCTGAACCAAGTCTCAATATCACTACTTTTACATATTTCAGACACAATGCAGAAAGAGAACTTAAAAATGGTTAAACACAGGGTTTCTAAAAAATATGCAGCTATTTGTATATCCCCAAAAGCAATAAAAGTAGTCAGATTGTGCACTCTTTTATAAGCCATAAAGAGAACTTTGGCTCTCACTGCAAATCTGAAGAAAAATTATTGAAGAAAATGTAGAGTCATTAGAGAGCATGAGACAGAGGATGTCCCTATGTGAGAACAAGTGAAAAAACCCAGTCTTCTCAGAAACGATTTCCACTGGAGCACAGCTTCCCAAATCACATGTAAAAGTCCGGGTTCCTCTCGGCCTTTGGATGTCTCATCTATGTCATCCTCTTCTTCATTGGCTTTCACCCACCTGGGTGCTTCATACTCCATGGCTTTTTCCTTTGCTCCAGACAGGTGACCAAGTCTGGCTTAGAGAAGACAATACTTGTTTTATTTTAAAAAGCAGCATGAGCATGACTTTTCCTGGAATTCTCCATTTACCAACCTAATACTGTTCTAAGTAGAGAAAAGAGGACATAATAGAAGATTCTAGAAAATTAATTCCAAAATACTTTTTACTGACAGAACCTTTAGCGTATTCAGAAAGTACATTAAATATGTGGGTCCTCCGTTTCACTCCCCAGTATTACTGAATCAAAAATTGGTGGTGGCAATTGAATTTTAAGGTGTGGACAACATTATTTTATGCTGCTAAATTTCTGAAATTACCACTTATCTAGGGTGAATAATATAGATAAACTCAGGAAAGGGGAAAATTCAGGTCAAAATGAAACGACCTGAAGAATTTATTTTCCACACCAAAAAATCCTCAAGATTGTCTTGAAAACAGGGATCTGAAATTTACTCATGCAAAGCAGAAATTACCAAAACACATCCTACAAAGGAAGAAAATGAAACCTTTAGGGTAAATTAGGAATTCTATATTGAAGTTATCCTCAACCAAGAAGACCGGGTTTCTGTAGTTCTGTAACATCACATCCATATACAAATTCTGCTGAGCAGCATCCAGGTATTGACACTCCTCCAGACAGAATTCTATGGCTACATCCCTGAATGTCAACAGTCCCTGAAAACACACCCACACCCACTTCAAGTGGCCATGGGCAGAATTCTTAAGTTGACTCAAGATAAAATGAGTGAAGAGAACTGATTCTGACTGATACGACTGAAATTGTCCTATAAAATAATTCCCAACAAAGAAATATTCTCTGTTGTATTCTCTATCTCTGAGAAAAGAGAGCATAAGATTCACAATACCAGTGTAGTGTATTGATGATATTTTTTGAATGATAAAGTACAAAATTAACAACAGGAACATAGACATGTACATTTTTGAGTGCTCCATTTAATCATACAGTATAAGTTCTACATATTTCTCAGATTAAAAACTCAGGCTTAGTTATAAAGTACCTCTCAAATTTTAATGTGTACAACCATAAACTGGAGATCATTTTATGCAGATTTTGTTTCAAGAAACCTGAGGTAAAACCTGAGTTTCTGAATTTCTAACAAGCTCACAAGTGGCACCAATCTTTCTGGCCCAAGATAAACATTTTGCCAAACATTCATTAAGTGACAGAGCCTGGGTTTTTATGACCAGTAAACAAAGATGAGGGACTTCACTTTTAAAAGAAAGACATATGCAAAGACAATCTAAGAAGAAAAGAGAACTTCCAGATTACATGTGATGCTTTGTGCACATCAGCTGGTAAATGTCCCCAGGGTACTCAATAATAAAGAGAAAAATAACTCTACGGTGGAAAAAAATTCTCAGAGAACTATTTAACTAAGCGAATCAAATTAACACCAATTATAACAACAAATTTTCATCATGCGCTGATGCTCACAGAAGGACACAATATCACTGCTGGGATACTGGCCCCCGCCAAAGAAGCAAATTATAATTCAAATCTAATCATAAAGAAACAAGTTTTATGCAAAATGCAAACTACAGTAATCACTCATGTTGTGTAATCTCTATTAAAGTATTTACACAGACTTTCTTTAGCATTCTAGAAAGAGAGTATCTTCTAATTATTTTTTTCAAAACTTTCTGAATTATTCTGGGTAATAAATGCCATCTTGTTCAAATGTGCATATTTTAATCCTGTTCCGCATCGAGTTGATGGAGCACACAGACAGTACTTCAACATTACATATTCCTATTTTTCATGAATATCTAAGAACCCCACCTCTTCCCCAGTAGGAATCTTGGGTATCCATACATTTCCATGTGCACCAGCACCAGCAACAAAGGGTATTTTTCTTTTTTTTTTTTTCTTTGGAGATGGAGTCTCTCTCTGTTGCCCAGGCTGGAGTGCAGTGGCACAATGTAGGCTCACTGCAGCCTCCAGAACCTCCACCTCCTGGGTTCAAGTGATTCTCTTGCCTCAGCCTCCCAAGTAGCTGGGATTACAGGCACCCGCCACCATGCCCAGCTATTTTTTGTATTTTTAGTAGTGACAGGGTTTCACCATGTTGGCCAGGCTGGTCTCGAACTCCTGACCTCAGGTCATCCACACATATCGGCCTCTCAAAGTGCTGGGATAATAGGCATGAGCCACTGCGTCCAGCCAAAGGGAATAATTTTAATATTATGAGTCATAAATTAATGGTGAGAATTCTGCATGGCAGAGAAGAAGCCAAGATGAAGAGAATGTCAAGAAGGCTCTAGTGTATAGAAAATAATATTTTTTCAGAGTTTCTTGACTATCATGAGAAGAAAAAGTGTTTAAACAAACTTATAGGGAGAAATAGCATAAAGTCAAGAAGTACAGGTTTGTAAGTTCTAAACATATGGCATTCCAGGAGGCAGAGTGAACACTGCTCCTGATCTGAGACACAGTCACCTGAGAAAAAGCCATTTTTCTCTTCATCATCCTTCTCTAGGATTTCTTCTCAGGTGATATTCTCTGGACAAGTCACACCTGCATCTTGGGAATATGCCTTTAAAGAAATCAGCACAATCTCTTCACCTGCTACCACCACAAACACAGGTAGAAAGATCCAGGCAGGCAGAAAATGTCCACCCATTTATGTTCTTTATAACAGGTGAGATTCAAGGACAGCGAGCTCCTCCACAAAGATCAAAATTTATCTTTCTCTTTTCCTGCCACAGATGCCACAATTTCTGCTACAGCAATGGGGATACGGGCCACACTAACTTGTCCCTACCAAATCCAACCATAGCAGGCCCTGTGACCTCCCTTTGGAATAAAGTTTGAACTCAACTCTCATGAATGTATTTTGAAATCCTCATGTTTGACCCTGGCCTCAACCTGGAGTCACATGAGGCACTTAATTATATCAACAAGGATGCTTCCACCCAGAACAATATACAGAGCCTGTGGGAAGGGTACAAGTGAAAAGATTTCTGCAACCTGGCCATGGAATCTTAATTAGAAGCCTGGGCCAAGAACCACTTAGCTAAACATTGCCTCTCAAACTTCAATGTGCATATAAATCATTTGGTAACCCTGGCCCCACACTATGTAATGTGATTCTGCAGGTTTTAAAAGCATCCATGAAAGTGCATTTTAAACACATCTCCTGTCAATGCTGATGTAGCTTCCCCAGACCCATCATTAGTAGCATTTAGCTAGAGAAAGCAGGCATGGAACAGACTCTTACTCTCATCACTCATCACAACACAAATACTTCTGATCAAATAAACAATCAATCTCTATCCTGAAAAACCACATTCTTTGCTAGCTCTTTAACTTCAGAGACAGGAGAAGGCAACAACGTCTGAGTAAGTCTGCACTGAAAAACAACATGTACACATATACTTATGCAATGCTTATGAAGCAGGTACTATGTGCTCAGGAGTGTGTTACAGAGCACTGTGCTGGGAACATCACATTATGTGATTTAATCTTCATAACAACTTGAGAGTTGGGTCCTAAGAGTTCAATAATTCTCAGAATTTAGATGAAGGGGCCAGCATTGTTTTCTTCCCTGTTTATCTCATTGATTTTTTTTTTCTGGACGGAGTTTCACTCTTGTTGCCCAGGCTGGAAGTGCAATGGCATGATCTCAGCTCACCACAACATCCGCCTCCTGGGTTCAAACGATTCTCCTGCCTCAGCCTCCCGAGTAGTTGGGATTACAGGCATGCACCATGACACTGAGCTAAGTTTCTATTTTTAGTAGAGACAGGGTTTCTCCATGTTGGTCAGGCTGGTCTCGAACTCCCAAGCTAAAGTGATCCGCGCACCTTGGCCTCCCAAAGTGCTAGTATTACAAGCATGAGCCACAGAGCCCGGCCTCTCACTGATTTTTTTTTAAAATGTATAGCATAAGAGATAAATATAAAGAGATGGGAGGGATACAGAAAGGAAAGGGTTAAGGGTAGTTTAAAGGGATTTTTTATTGTGTTTCTATTTACTTTTTTGTGACTGTGGAGTAACTACTGGGATGGAATGTCTCTACAAGCACTGGTTTTAATTAAAAAGAAAGAAGTTAAGACCTCAAAATATATAGTTTATTGCTCTAATTTATCTGCTTTTGGGTTTCAGAATATTGTGAGCATAAGCTCTGGAGAGGCAGCAGGAGCCACCTCCCAAATCTCTGGTCTCCTCTAATGAGTTCTGTGAGGAGAAACTCCAGGGTGGGACCAGACGTGAATGAGCCTCAGAAAAGTGTGAATCTGGACAGAGCTGGGGTGGAGAAACGGTCCTATGTTGAATTATGATCTCTATGCTGCTGGAGTACTTCTTGTTCTGTCTTTCCTAAGCCTGTCCAAGAGAAACTTAAGAGTTTGTATAATTTTAATCCATTTAGCCACTACTCTATTTTATAACATATAATAACAAGCAATTTAACCAAAACTTTTAGGGCTTTCTAGGATAATTTTATCAGAAAATATGTATTCTTAGCAAGGTAAAAGCAATAGAAATACAAATAACTCTCCTGTTTGAGAATAGCTCTTCAGGAGGTGATATCAGAAGTCACAACAACATCAGAGTCATCGCCCAAGTCCCCTTAACACTCCCACTTTATTGTATTGACTATATGATGCTTAATTAAACCATTTATCCAGTTGCTCTAGACTGAAAGTTTTTGAATGACAGTGACCCTGACTGCTTCATCTATTTTTCTAAAGGCCATATGAAATGGAGGCAATCTGTTTATCAGTCTGAGTCTCCAGAACTCCTGAATTTTTTGCCAAGGAAACTGGAGAAACTCTCGTCCAGGTACCAACCAAGGAGATTCTTTCTACAAAAGAAGGAACAGACACTGAATGACTCATTTCCCTTCCTCTAACATGGAAGCAGAATTAGGCACTCCTGCCAGCCTGACCCAAGTCTGTACAGGACATCCTGAAATGTCTTAAAGATTCCCGGGTGATTGTGAGAGGATTCCTAGTGACCATAGACTGATGACCATATGTTGATCCAAGTAGGAAAGACTCAAGCTGATTCTAAATAGAAAATGGAACTGCCCTGGTAGAGCTCCAGAATCTGGATCTACGTGTGATATCACCTGTTCTGATTAGCTAGGTCTTAGGTAAGAGAAAGGACAAGAATACTCTACTCCAGTATCACATTTTACAAATAGGTAAACTTATGTCATTGCTCTGGGTATTTTGTGGCTTTGATCTCTCCCTGCTGACATGCATGTTTACACTTACAGATTGTGCAACCAGATTCTATTTACACCAGCAGCCTCTCACATAACCATAGCAGGTCACTGGAAAAGATCTGGAAAGCTCAAAGGGATACACTCTGAAAGGAGGGCTTTAAGATTTCTATGCTGACATCTCACAGATCAGAAAATGTCTCCTATGGGTTTTCTGTACATTCTTAATCCAAAATCTGGCTCTCTCCTGTGAATCCCAGGGAGAGCTCAGCTCTTATGTACAGATTACAGGTAAGATCAACCTGACTCTTCATTCTTTGGTGTTACAGCAAGGAGAGTAAAAAAAAAAAAAAAGTTTCCATCATAAAGTCTGCTCTAGCACATGATATGTCAGCCTAAAAAGAAAAGGCTAAGGCAACACTCATTTAAGAAGAGAGTTTATTTGGGCCAAGCCTGAGGATTGAAATCTGGGAGCATAGATTCAAGTTGCCTTGAATGTATACTTTAATTAGCAGCAGTTACAAGTGGATTTACAGAGGCAAAAGAGAGGGACAGGGAGAGGACTGAAACAAAGTTGTTTGTCAGAAATTCTTCTTGATCTACAGAAATAACATTGATGACTAATTGGCTATATATTTTTAAGCTGTGAGGTATTGCTTATAACATCTAGTGTGGCATTATTAGGTTAATTTATATCTACTTGTAGGAATAGCAAACAGTTTCGAGAGGTAAACACGTAGCTCAAAGGAGGCAGTAGAACATAATTATGTTCTCATTTTTATGTCTCTCTGGGCCTGATAAAACTAAAAGGACTTGCCCTCCTCAGATCAAAGTTATTCTTTTTCCTCTAATCTCAAGACCGAGGTTCAGAATTTGGTACTGTAGATTTAGGTCCTGGATGGATGGAGAAATGACAGGTATTAACTGCACATTTATGGGAATTTTGGGAGGAGAAGAAAGAGGAACTTTGAGATACTCACGTTTACTCAATGCACACATGTCACCCTAATTGTTCTTCTGGTCCTAATAGTCTCCAACTCAGTTTCAGGTCTCAAGACACTATGGTCTCTGAAAGAGGTGAAATGGCTGATTACTATCCTGTGAATTTTGTCACCCACTTGTAGAAAGGCTTAACGTCTCTATGAGTGGTTGTAGAGGACTATAGATGTGAAACAGGCAGAGACACAAGTCTGCTTGCATACTCTGGGGGCAGTGTGCACTTTGAAGCACAACTGACTGGGTTGACTGGAAGCCTGAGGGGGAAAGCCTTCTCTAAAGTGAAGCTTGGTGGGCATTTTATACATATATACAATGTCTGGTAATTGTGAACAGTGTTTGAGAAATATAATTAAAAGGAAAATTATCTCCAATCCTAGAAAAACCCCACAATAACAGAACAGAAAGAAAAGTGTTTTATTGAACAATAAAACCAGAATGTGATGCGACATGAATCACAGACAATCTGCTCAAGAGATTGCAAAGACAGAAGGGTCTCTATAATTAGTCCTCAAGTAGAAGATTTCACAGCATCATTTGTCATACACAGTTTATCCTAAGTTCACCTGGTAATTGGGGAGGCCATCTGTGTACGTTAATTAGTTATATTGAAAGGAAAAATGAACTTCTGACATCTTCATGATAGGAGGTAGTTTTGCAACTTACAGCCAGGTGCCTGCCGAAAGTAGGCTCTGGTTCTTTCACAGACACTGTGAGATAGGATATTATTCTTTTGGCTATTTACATTTCAAAGCAAAGGGTCCCTACTCCCTAGGCCACGGGCTGCAGCAATCCTGCTTGCCCTGTCCTGGTGGCCTGTGTCCCATCTCTTCCCCTACCATCTACCATCGAGGCACAGCTCACAGCACACTGCTGGCAGCCCACATTCCACATGGACTCCAACCACCACAGCTGCACTCCAGTGTCACATTATGGAGCAGGGTCCCTGAACGGCAGGAGGAGAACCTGCAGGACTCCTGGGTAGGATTGCACTTTTGCAATAATGGAAATGGGAGCAATGTTTCAGCTACTTTTCTATTTATAATGGTGACAAAAAAATACTGCTTGATTCCCAGCATGGGTCTGGATAGAGTGCGAAAGAGTTCTCATTGTGACAGCCCAACTCACTCGGAAACACCATGAGACACTTTTGGGGGTCCCTTCTGAAGACAGACACCGAAGGCATTGAAGAGAAAAACAGCTCTCAGTCTGAATAAAATTGTATTAAGAGGTTAAAAGCATCTGAAAGAAAAATTCAGATTACATATAATATTAGCCAAGTCGACCAGAAAATACTCACTCCCCTGAGACAGTTTCCTCTCTAAACACCCAAAATGCACAGCTGCTCTCAACACAAGAAACACAGTGTTATGAAGAAAGGGGGCATATTCTCAGCAGAATTTCTTAAGATTTTCCTTCCATCTCTGCTGCTCTCTCATCTGCTGGCCATTGGATTGAGGATCTACACTGGAACACATCAGGCAACCTTCGCCAGCACTTTTTGATAAAGAATTGGAATTTGACTCTGTTTACATAGTAGATACTATATCTGAGATTGCAACATATCTAACTGAAGACTATTATGATTCATGAATTTTGGGTCGTCACAACACTTGCATTGATTTGTTCTGTAAGAGTGACATTCCTAATTTAGTAAAACATAAGAATAGACTGTAAGGCAGGACGCGGTGGCTCACACCTGTAATTCCAGCACTTTGGGAGGCTTAGGTGGATCACCTAGGTCGAGAGTTGAAGACCAGCCTGGCCAACACGGTGAAACCCCGTCTCTACTAAAATACAAAAACTAGCCAGGCGTGGTGGCAGACAACTGTAATCCCAGCTACTTAGGGGTTGAGGCAAGAGAATCGCTTGAACCCAGGAGGCAGAGGTTCCAGTGAGCTGAGATCACGCCACTGCACTCCAGCCTGGGTGACAGAGCCAGACTCCATCCCAAAAAAACAAAAAACAAAACAAAACAAAAGATAGAATGTAAAATTTTGCTAACCTACTACTCTATCTTTTGTTTTGTTTTGTTTTTTGAGACAGAGTTTTGCTCTTGTTGCCCAGGCTGGAGTGCAATGATGCAATCTCAGCTCACTGCAGCCTCCACCTCCCAGGTTCAAGTGATTCTCCTGCTTCAGTCTCCCGATTAGCTAGGATTACAAGCATGCACCACCATTCCCTGATAATTGTGTATTTTTTTTAGTAGAGACGGGGTTTCTCCATGTTGGTCAGGGTGGTCTCAAACTCCTGACCTCAGGTGATCCGCCTGCCTTGGCCTCCCAAAGTGCTGTGATTATAGGTGTGAGCCACTACACCCAGCTGACCTATTATTATATCTATGGGATGAATTAATAAGCATGTCAGATTAATATCTACTGTAACAATTAGATAGTAAATTTTCTTTGGATATTAGATATAAATATCTAAGTATAAATAATCTTAGTATACTAGTGATGACATACATTTTTTAAATTATCTGTAACCTTAACTCAGTTATAATACTTTATATTTCAAAAGAATAAATAACGATATTAAAATTACTATTTAAGGTATTTATTCATAGTAAATATTGTGGCCTTATATTCACATGATTGTAGAAAATACTGTTTAATTTAGATGGATGATTGTTGTCTACTGAAGACTACATAAAACTATGTTAATTCTTTTTTTATTTTTTTATTTTTTAAATTTATTATTATACCTTAAGTTTTAGGGTACATGTGTAAAATGTGCAGGTTTGTTACATATGTATATATGTGCCATGTTGGTGTGCTGCATCCATGAATTTGTCATTTAGCATTAGGTATATCTCCTAATGCTATCCCTCCCCATCCCCCCACACTGACCTCACATAGGATTCCAGAACACTGCTGGGTTCTGAGTGTTTGTCCCTCACATAGGATTCCAGAACTGTTCTGTAATCCTTTGTAAGGGATAAACATTCAGACCCTCGTAGCAGTGTTCCAGAATCCTATGTGAGGGACAAAAACTCAGAACCCAGCAGCAGTGTTCTGGAATCCCGTGTGAGCCACAAACATTCAGAACTTCGTAGCAGTGTTCTGGAATTCTATGTGAGGGACAAACACTCAGAACCCAGCAGCAGTGTTCTGGAGTCCAATGTGAGGGACAAACACTCAGAACCCAGCAGCAGTGTTCTGGAATCCTATGTGAGGGACGAATACTCTGAACTCAGCAGCAGGTTTCCGGAATCCCATGAGAGGGACAAATACTCAGAACCCAGCAGCAGTGTTCTGGGATCCTATGTGAGGGACAAACACTCAGAACCCAGGAGCGGTGTTCTAGAATCCTTTGTGAGGGACAAACACTCAGAACCCAGCAGCAGTGTTCTGGAATCATATGTGAGGGACAAACACTCAGAACCCAGCAGCACTGTTCTGGAATCCTAAGTGAGGGACAAACACTCAGAACCCAGCAGCAGTGTTCTGGAATCCTTTGTGATGGACAAACATTCAGACCCTCGTAGCAGTGCACTGGAATCCTATGTGAGGGACAACCACTCAGAACCCAGGAGCAGTGTTCTGGAATCCTCTGTGAGGGACAAACACTCAGAACACAGCAGCAGTGTTCTGGAACCTTATGTGAGAGACAAACACTCAGAACCCAGCAGAAGTGTTCTGGAATCCTATGTGATGGACAAATACCCAGAACCCACCCACTGTCTTCTGGAATCCTATCTAAGGGACAAACATTCAGACACTTGCAGAAGTGTTCTGGAATCCTATGTGAGGGACAAACCCTCAGCAACCAGGAGCAGTGCTCTGAAATCCTTTGTAAGGGACAAACAAACAGAATCCAGTAGCAGGGTTCTGGAATCCTTTCTGAGGGAAAAACATTCAGACCCTCTTAGCAGTGTTCTGGAATCTTTGTGTGGGACATTCAGACCCTCGTAGCAGTGTTCTGGAAACCAATGTGAGTGCCAAACACTCAGAACCCAGCAACAGTGTTGTGGAATACTTGGTAAGGAACAAACATTCAGACAATCGCAGCATTGTTCTGGAATCCTAAGTGAGGGACAAACACTCAGAAATGAGCTGCAGTGTTCTAGAATTCTATGTAAGGGACAAACCCTCAGTACCGAGCGGCAGTGTTCTGGAATTCTATGTGAGGGACAAACACTCAGAACAAAGCAGCAGTGTTCTGGAATCCTCTGTGAAAGACAAACACTCAGATCCCAGCAGCAGTGTTCTGATACCCTATGTGAGGGACAAACACTCAGAACCCAGCCACTGTGTTCTGAAATCCTATCTGAAGGACAAACATTCGGAGCCTCGTAGAATTGTTCTGGAATCCTATGTGAGGGACAAACACTCAGAAACCTATAGCAGTGTTCTGGAATCCTTTGTGACGGACAAACAAATAGAGCCCAACAGCCGTGTACTGTAATCCTATTTGACAGACAAACGCTCACAACTCAGAAGCAGTGTTCTGCAATCATTTGTGAGGGACAAACATTCAGAACCTCGTAGCAGTGTTCTGGAATCGTATGTGAGGGACAAACACTTTGAACCTAGCAGTTGTGTACTGGAATCCCATGTGAGGGACAAACACTCAGAACCCAGCAGCAGTGCTCTGGAATCCTATGTGAGTGACAAACACTAAGAAACCAGCAGCAGTGTTTTAGAATCCTTTGTGAGGGACAAACATTCAGACCATCGAAACAGTGTTCTGGAATCCTGTGTGAGGGACAAACACTCAGATCCAGCAACAGTGTTCTAAAATCCTTTGTGATGGACAAAAATTCAGACCGTCATAGCCGTTTTCTGGAATCCAAGGTGAGGGACAAACACTCAGAACCCAGCAGCAGTGTTCTGGAATCCTATGTGAGGGACAAACACTCAGATCCAGCAGAAGTGTTCTGGAATACTCTGTGAGGGAAAAACATTCAGATACTCTTAGTAATGTTCTGGAATCCTACGTGAGGGAAAAACATTCAGATACTCGTAGCATTGTTCTGGAATCCTATATGAGGGGCAAACACTCAGAACCCAGCAACAGTGTTCTGGAGTGCTTTTGTGAGGGAAAAACATTCAGACCCTCGAAGCAGTGTTCTGGAATCCTATGTGAGGTACAAACACTCAGAACCCAGAAACAGTTTCCTTGAATCCTATGTGAGGGAGAAACACTCAGAACCCAGCAGCAGTGTTCTGGAATCCCATGTGAGTGTCAAACATTCAGAACCCAGCAGCATTGTTCTGGAATCCTATTTGAGCGACAAACATTCAGAACTTCGTACCTGTGTTCTGGAATGCTATGTGAGGGACAAACACTCAGAACCAAGCAGCAGTGTTCTGGAATCCTATGTGAGGGAGAAACACTCGGAACCCAGCAGCAGTGTTCTGGAATCCTATGTGAGGGTCAAACACTAAGAATCCAGCAGCAGTGTTCTGGAATCCTTTGTGAGGGACAAACATTCAGAACCTTTAGCAGTGTTCCGGAATTTTATGTGAGGGAAAACACTCTGAACCCAGCAGGAGTGTTTTTGAATCCCATGTGAGGGACAAATACACAGAACCCTGCAGCAGTGCTCTGGAATACTTTGTGAGGAACAAACATTGAGACTCTCAAAGCAGTTTTCTGGAATCCATTGTGAGGGACAGTCAGAACCCATAGCAGTGTTATGAATCCTTTGTGATGGACAAATATTCAGACCATCGTAGCAGTGTTCTGGTATCCTGAGTGAGGGACAAACACTCAGAAACCAGCAGCAGTGCTCTGGATCCCTTTGTGAGGGGCAAACAAACAGAACCCAGCAGGAGAGTTCTGGAATCCTATGTGAGGGACAAACACTCAGAACCCAGCAGCAGTTTTCTGGAATTCTTTGTGAGGGACAACATTCAGAAAATCATAGAAGTGTTCTGGAAACGTATGTGCGTGACACACTAAGAAACCAGCAGAAGTGCTCCTGAATCCTTTGACAGGGACAAACAATAGAAACCAGCCACAGTGTTCTGGAAGCCTTTGTGGGGGAAAAACATTGAAACCCTCGTAGCAGTGTTCTGGAATCCTATATGAGGGACAAACAGTCAGAACCCAGCAACAGTGCTCTGGAATCCTTTGTGAGAGACAAACATTCAGACACTCAGCAGTGTTCTGGAATCCTATGTGAGGGAAAAACATTCAGACCGTCGTGCATTGTTCTGGAATTCTATATATGGCACAAACACTCAGAACTCAGCAGCAGTGCTCTGGAACCCTATGTGAGGGAAAAACACTCAGAACCCAGCAGGATTGTTCTGGAATGCTATGTGTGGGACAAACACTCAGAACCCAGTAGCAGAGTTCTGGAATCCTATGTGAGGGACAAACACTCAGAACACAGCAGCTGTGTTCTGGAATCCTTTGTGATGCACAAAGTTTCAGAACCTCACAGCAGTGTTCTGGAATCGTATGTGAGGGACAAACACTCAGAACCCAGCAGCAGTGTTCTAGAATCCTTTGAGAGGGAAAAACATTCAGAGCCTTGAAGCAGTGTTCTGGAATCCTATGTGATGGACAAACACTCAGAACCCAGCAGCAATATTCCGGAGTCCTTTGTGATGGACAAACATTCCGACCCTCGTAGCAGTGTTCTGCAATCCTATGTGAGGGATAAACACTCAGAAGCCAGCAGCTGTGTTCTGGAATCCCATGTGAGGGATAAACTCTCAGAACCCAGCAGCAGTCTTCTGTAATCCTATATGAGTGAGAAACACTCAGAACCCTGCAGCAGTTTTGTAGATTCCACTGTGAGATACAAACATTCAGACCCTCGTAGAAGTGTTCTGGAATCCTATGTGAGGGAAAAACTCTCAGAAACCTGCAGCAGTGCACTGGAGTCCCTTGTGAGGGACAAACAAACACAACTGAGCAGCAGTGTTCTGGATTCCTTTGAGAGGCAAAAATATTCAGACCCTCGTAGCAGTGTTCTGGAATCCTATGTGAGGGACAAACACTCAGAACCCACCAGCAGTATTCTGGAATCCTATGTGGGGGACAAACACAACCCAGCCACAGTGTTCTGGAATCCTCTGTGAGCGACAAACATTCAGAAATTCGTAGCAGTGTTCTGAAATCCTATATGAGGGACAAACACTCAGAACCCAGCCACTGTGTTCTGGAATCCTATGTGAGGGACAATCATTCAGACCCTCGTAGCTGTGTTCTGTAATCTTATCTGAGGGACAAACATTCAGACCTTAGTATCAGTGTTCTGGAATCCTATGTGAGGGACAAACGCTCAGAACCCAGCAGCACTGTTCTGGAATCCTATGTGAGGGACAAACACTCAGAACCCAGCAGCAGTACTCTGGAATAATTTGTGAGGGACAAACATTCAGACAATCATAACAGTGTTCTGGAATCCTATGTGAGGGACAAACACTCAGAACGCAGCAGCAGTGTTCTGGAATCCTATGTGAGGGACAAACACTCAGAACGCAGCAGCAGTGTTCTGGAATCCTATGTGAGGAACAAACACTTAGAACCCAGCAGCACTGTTCTGGAATCCTATGTGAGGGACAAACACTCGGAAAGCCGCAGCAGTGTTCTGGAATCCTATGTGAGGGTCAAACACTCAGAAACCTGCAGCAGTGCTCTGGATTCCTTTGTGAGGGACAAACAAACAGAACCCAGCAGCAGAGTTCTGGAATCCTATGTAAGGGACACTCAGAACCCAGCAGCAGCATTCTGGAAACCTTTGTGAGGGACAAACATTCAGATCCTCATAGCAGTGTTCTGGAATCCTATGTGAGAGACAAACACTAAGAAAGCTGCAGCAGTGTTCTAGAATCCTATGTGAGGGACAAACACTCAGAGCCCAGCAGCAGTGTTCTGCAATCCTTTGTGAGGGTCAAACACTCAGACGCTCAGAACAGTGCTCTGTAATCCTATGTGAGGGATAAACACTCCGAACCCTGCAGCAGTGCTCTGAATTCGTATGTGAGGGACAAGCATTCAGCTCCTCATAGCCCTGTTCTGGAATTCTCTGTGAGGGTCAAACATTCAGAACCTCGTAGCAATGTTCTGAAATACTATGTGAGGTACAAAGCCTCAGAACTCAGCAGTAGTGTTCTGGAATCCTACGTGAGTGACAAACACTCAGAAACCAGCAGCAGTGTTCTAGAATCCTTTGTGAGGGACAAACATTTAGACTCTCGAAGCAGTGTTCTGTTATCCTATGTGAGGGACACTCAGATCCAGTAGCATTGTTCTGGAATCTTTTATGATGGACAAACATTAAGGTCCTCGTAGCAGTTTTCTGGAATCCTATGTGAGGGGCAAACACTCAGAACCCAGCAGCAGTGTTCTGGAATCCAGTGTGTGGTACAAACACTCAGAACCGAGCCAGTGTGTACTGGAATCCTATCTCAGGGCCAAACATTCAGACCTTCGCAGAAGTGATCTGGAATCCTATGTGCGCAACAAACACTAAGTAACCAGCAGCAGTGCTCTGGAATCCTTTGTGAGGGACAAACAGAAACCAGCAGCAGTGTTCTGGAAGCCTTTGTGAGTGAAGAACATTCAGACCCTCGTAGCAGTGTTCTGGAATCCTACGTGCGGGACAATCACTCAGAAGCCAGCAGCACTGTTCTGGAATCCTATGTGAATGACAAATATTCAGAACCCAGAATCAGTGTTCTGGATTCCTAAGTGAAGGACAAACTCTCAGAACCCAGCAGCAGTTGTCTGCAATCTTTCATGAGAGACAAATATTGAGTCTCAAACCAGTGTTCTGGAATCCTATGTAAGGGACAAGCATTCAGAGCCTCGTAGCAGTGCTCTGGAATCCTATATGAGGTACAAACACGAAGAACCCAGCAGCACTGTTCTGGAACCCTATGTGAGGGACAAACACTCAGAACCCAGCAACAGTGATCTGGAATCCTATGTGAGGGACAAACACTCAGAACCCAGCCACAGTGTTCTGGAATCCTATGTGATAGACGAACACTCAGAACCCAGCATCAGTGTTCTGGAATCCTTTGTAAGGGACAAGCAATCAGGACACAGCAGCTCTGTTCTGGAATCCTATGTGAGCGACAAACCTTCAGAACTTCTTAGCAGTGTTCTGGAATTGTATGTGAGGGACAAACACTCAGAAGCCAGCAGCAGTGTTCTGGAATGCTAAGTGAGGGACAAACACTCAGAACCCAGCATCAGTGTTTTGGCATCCTATGTGAGGGACAAACATACAGAACCCGGAAGCAGTGTTCTAGAATCCTTTGTGAGGGACAAACACTCAGAAACCAGTAGCAGTGTTCTAGAATCCTTTGTGAGGGACAAATATTCAGAACCTCGTAGCAGTGATCTGGAATCCTATGTGAGGGACAAACACTCAGAATCCAGCCACAGTGTACTGGAATCCTATCTGAGGGCAAACATTCAGAACCTCGGAGAAGTGTTCTGGAATCCTATATGAGGGGCAAACACTAAGAAATATGCAGCAGTGCTCTGGAATCCTTTGTGAGAGGCAAACAAACAGAACCCAGTAGCAGTGTTCTAAGATCCTTTGTAAGGGAAAACATTCAGACCCTCGTAGCAGTGTTCTGGAATCCTATGTGAGGTAAAACATTCAGACCCTCATAGCAGTGTTCTGGAATCCTATATGAGGGACAAACACTCAGAACCCAGCAGCAGTGTTCTGGAATCTTTTGGGAGGGAAAAACATTCACACCCTCGTAACAGTGTTTTGGAATCCTATGTGAGTGAAAAATATTCAGACCCTCGTAGCATTGTTCTGGAATCCAATATGAGGGACAAACACTCAGAATCCAGTAACAGTGTTCTGGAACCCTCCGTGAGGGATAAACATTCAGACCCTCATAGCAGTGTTCTGGAATCCTATGTGAGGGACAAACACTCAGAACCCAGCAGCAGTGTTCTAGAATCCTTTGTGAGGGACAAACATTCAGACCCTCTTAGCAGTGTTCTGGAATCCTATGTGAGGGACAAACATACAGACCAGAGCAGGAGAGTTCTGGAATCCTACGTGATCATCAAAATTTCAGACGCTAGCAGCAGTGTTCTTTGATCCTCTCTGAGGGAAAAACATTCACAACCTCGTATCAGTGTTCTGCAATCCTAGGTGAGGGACAGACATTCAGAACCCAGCATTAGTGTTCTGGAATCCTATGTGAGGAACTCACATTCAGACCCTTGTACCAGTGTTCTGGAATCCTCTGTGGGGGACAACAATTCAGAGGCTTGTAGCAGTGTTCTGGAATCCTTTGTGAAGGACACATGTTCAGACGACAGCAGGAGTGTTCTTGAGTCCTATGTGGGGGACAAACACGCAGAACACAGCAGCAGTGTCCTGGAATCATATGTGAGGGACAAACATTCAGACCGGAGCAGGACTATTCTGGAATTCTATCTGAGGGACACACATTGAGACACTCGTAGCAGTGTTCTGGAATTCTATGTGAGTGACAAACACACACAACCCAGCAGCAGTGTTCTGGAATCCTATCTGAGGGACAAACATTCAGACCCTCGTAGCAGTGTTCTGCAATCCTATGTGAGGGACAAACACTCAGAACCCAGCGGCAGTGTACTGGAATCCTATGTGAGGAACAAATACCCAGAACCCAGCAGCAGTGCTCGGGAATTCTAGGTGAAGGACAAACCCTCAGAAACCAGCAGCAGTGTTCTGGATTCAATTGTGAGGGACAAACATTCAGACACTCATACCACTGTTTGTAATGCTATATGAGGAATAAATATTCAGACCCCCGTAGCAGTGTTCTGAAATCGTATGTAAGGGACAAACACTCAGAAAACAGCAGCAGTGTTCTGTAATCCTATGAGAGGGACAAGCACTCAGAATCCAGCAGCACTGTTCGGGAATTCTATGTGAGGGACAAACCCAGAGAACGCAGCAGCAGTGTTCTGGAATCCTTTGTGAGGGACAAACATTCAGACACTCAGAGCAGTGTTCTGGAATCCTATGTGAGGGACAAACACTCAGAACCCTGCAGCAGTGTTCTGGAATCCTATCTGAGGGACAAGCATTCAGACCCTCATAACACTGTTCTGGAATGCTCTGTGAGTGACAAACATTCAGATCCTCGAAGCAGTGTTCTGGAATCCTATGTGAGGTACAAACCCTCAGAACTCAGCAGCAGTGTTCTGGAATTCTATGAGAGGGAAAAACCCTCAGAGCCTAGCAGCAGTGTTCTGGAATGGTACGTGAGGGACTAACACTCAGAACCCAGCAGCAGTGTTCTGGAATGCTACGTGAGAGACAAACACACAAAACCCAGCAGCAGTGTTCTGGTATCCTATATGAGGGACACACACTCAGAACCCAGCAGAAGTGTTCTGGAATCCTAAGTGATGGACAAATACTCACAAAACAGCAGCAGTGTTCTGGAATCCTATGTGAGGTACAAACATGCAGACCCTTGGAGCAGTGTTCTGGAATGCTATGTGAAGGACAAACAGTCAGAACCCAATAGCAGTGTTCTGGAATCCAATGTGAGGGAAAAGAATTCAGACACTGCAGCAGTGATACAGAATGCTTTCTGAGGGACAAACATACAGACCCTCGTAGCAGTCTTCTGGAATCCTATGTGAGGGACAAACACTCAGAAGCCAGCAGCAGAGTTCTGGAATCCTTTGTGTGGGAGAAACACTCAGAACTCAAAAGCAGTGTTCTGGAATCCCTTTGAGGGACAAACATTCAGACCATCGTAGGAGTGTTCCGGAATAGTATGTGAGGGACAAACATTCAGAACCCAGCAGCAGTGTTCTGGAATCCTTGGTGAGGAACAAACTTTCAGAACCTCTGAGCAGTGTTCGGGAATCCTACGTTTGGGACAAACACTCAGAACCCAGCAGCTGTGTTCTGCAATCCTATGTGAGGGACAAACACTCAGAACCCACAAGCGGTGCTCTGGAATCTTTGTGAGGGACAAACATTCAGACCCTTGTAGCCATGTTCCGGAATCCCATGTGATGGGGAAACCCTCAGAACCCAGCAGCGGAGTTCTAGAATTCTACATGAGGGACAATCCCTCAGAACCTAGCATCAGTATTCTGCAATGCTATGTGAGGGAAAAACCCTCAGAACCCAGCAGCAGTGTTCTGGAACTCAATGACAGGGACAATCCCTCAGATCCCAGCAGAAGTTTTCTGGAATCTTAAGTGAGGGACAAACACTCAGAACCCAGCAGCAGTGTTCTGGAATCCAATGTGAAGGACAAACACTCAGAACCCAGCAGCAGTGTTCTGGAATATTATGTGAGGGACAAACACTCAGAACCCAGTAGCATTTTTCTGCAATTCTTTGTGAGAGACAAACTTTCATACCCTTGTATCAGTGTTCTAGAATCCTATGTGTGAGATAAACACTCAGAACCCAGCAGCAGTGGTCTGGAATCCTCTGTGAAGAACAAACACTCAGAACCCAGCAGCAGTGGTCTGGAATCTTCTGTGAAGAACAAACACTCAGAACCCAGCAGCAGTGATCTGGAATCCTATGTGAGGGACAGACATTCAGAACCCAGCAGCAGTGTTCTGGAATCCAATGTGAGGGGCAAACACTCAGAACCCAGAAGCAGTGTTTAGGAATCATATGTGAGGGAAAAACATTCAGAACCCTGCAGCAGTGATCTGGAATCCTGTGTGAGAGACAAGCATTCAGACCCTGGTAGCACCGGTCTGGAATGCTCTGTGAGGGACAAACATTCAGACCCTCGTAGCAGTGTTCTGGAATCCTATGTGAGGAATAAACCCTCGGAACTCAGCAGCAGTGTTCTGGAATTCTATGTGACAGACAAACCGTCAGAACCAAGCAGCAGCATTCTGGAATTCTATGTGAGGGACAATCACTCAGAAACCAGCAGCAGCGTTCTGGAATTCTATGTGAGGGACAATCACTCAGAAACCAGCAGCAGTGTTCTGGTATTCGATATGAGGGACACACACTCAGAACCCAGCAGAAGTGTTCTGGAATCCTATGTGAGAGAAATACACTCACAAACCAGCAGCAGTGTTCTGGATTCCTATGTGAGGGACAAACATTCAGACCCTCGGAGCAGAGTTCTGGAATCCTTTGTGAAGGACAAACACTCAGAACCCAGTAGCAGTGTTCTGGAATGCTATGTGTGTGACAAGCATTCGGGTACTCATTGCAGTGATACAGAATCCTTTGTGAGGGACAAACATTCAGACCCTCGTAGCAGTGTTCTGGAATCCTATGTGAGGGACAAACATTCAAACCCTCGGAACAGAGTTCTGGAATCTTTTGTGAAGGGCAAACACTCAGAACCCAGTAGCAGTGTTCTGGAATACTATGTGTGTGACAAGCATTCAGGTACTCGTTGCAGTGATAAGGAATCCTTTATGAGGGACAAACATTCAGACCCTCATAGCGGTGTTCTGGAATCCTATGTGAGGGACATTCAGACCCTCGTAGAAGTGTTCTGGAAACCATTGTGAAGGCGAAACACTCAGAACCCAGCAGCAGTCTTCTGGAATAGTTGGTAAAGGACAAACATTCAGACAATCATAGCAGTGTTCTGGAATCCTAAGTGAAGGAGAAACGCTCAGAAACCAGCTGTGGTGTTCTAGAATTCTATGTGAGGGAGAAACACTCAGAACAAAGCAGCAGTGTTCTGGAATCCTATGTGAAGGACAAACACTCAGAACCCAGCAGCAGTGTTCTGATACCCTATGTCAGGGACAAACACTCAGAACCCAGCCACTGTGTTCTGGAATCCTATCTGAAGGAAAACACTCAGAAACTCTTAGAAGTTTTCTGGAATCCTATGTAAGGGACAAACACTCTGAACCCAATAGCAGTGTTCTGGTATCCTATATGAGGGACAAACACTCAGCACCCAGCAGAAGTGTTCTGGAATCCCATATGAGGGACAAACAATCACAAACCAGCAGCAAATGTTCAGGAATCCTATGTGAGGGACAAACATTCAGAGCCTCGGAGCAGTGTTCTGGAATCCTATGTGAAGGACCAACAGTCAGAACCCAGTAGCAGTGTTCTGGAATCCTATGTGAAGGACAAGCATTCAGACACTCTTAGCATTGATACAGAATGCTTTCTGAGGGAAAAACATGCAGACCCTCATAGCAGTGTTCTGAAATCCTATGTGAGGGACAAACACTCAGAAGCCAGCAGCTGTGTTCTGGAATCCTTTGTGTCAGACAAACACTCAGAACTCAAAAGCAGTGTTCTGGAATCCCTTTGAGGGACAAACATTCAGACTCTCATAGCAGTGTTCCGGAATAGTATGTGAGGGACAAACATTCAGAACCCAGCAGCAGTGTTCTGGAATCCTTGGTGAGGAACAAACTTTGAAACCCTCCAAGCAGTGTCCTGGAATCCTACGTTTGGGACAAACCCTCAGAACCTAGCAGCTGTGTTCTGCAATCCTATGTGAGGGACAAACACTCAGAACCCACAAGCGGTGCTCTGGAATCTTTGTGAGGGACAAGCATTCCTACATTTTAGCAGTGTTCCGGAATCTCATGTGATAGAGAAACGCTCAGAACCCAGCAGCAGAGTTCTAGAATTCTACGTGAAGGACAAACCTTCAGAACCCAGCAGCAGTGTTCTCATACTCAATGACAGGGACAATCCCTCAGATCCCAGCAGCAGTTTTCCGGAATCCTATGTGAGGGACAACACTCAGAACCCAACAGCAGTGTTCTGGAATCCAATGTGAGGGACAAACACTCAGAAACCAGCAGCAGTGTTCTGGAATCCTATGTGAGGGACAAACACTCAGAACCCAGCAGCACTTTTCTGCAATCCTTTGTGAGAGACAAACTTTCATAGCCTTGTAGCTGTTTTCTGGAATCCTATATGTGGAACCAACACTCAGAACCTAGGAGCAGTGGTCTGGAATCCTCTGTGAGGGACAAACACTCAGACCCTTGAAGCAGTGTTCTGGAATCCTGTGTGAAGGACAAGCATTCAGATCCAGCAGCAGTGCTCTGGAATCCTTTGTTATGGACAAACCTTCACAAGCTCATAGCAGTTTTCTGGAATCCTGTGTGAGGGACAAACACTCAGAAACCAGCAGCAGTGCTCTGGAATCCTTTGTTATGGACAAGCCTTCACAAGCTCATAGCAGTTTCCTGGAATCCTGTGTGAGGGACAAACACTCAGAAACCAGCAGCAGTGTTCTAGCATCCTTTGTGAGGGACAAACACTCAGAACCTCGAAGCAGTGTTCTGGAATCCTATGTGAGTGACAAACACTCAGAACCCAGAAGCAGTGTTCTGGAATCCTATGTGAGGGACCAACACTCAGAACCCAGCCACTGTGTACTGGAATCTTATCTGAGGGACAAATATTCAGACCATCGCAGAAGTGTTCTGGAATCCTGTGTGGAACAAACACTAAGAAACCAGCAGCAGTGCTCTGGAATCCTTTGTGAGGGACAAACAAACAGAACCCAGCAGCAGTGTTCTGGGATCCTTTGTGAGGGAAAAACATTCAGACCCTCATAGCAGTGTTCTGGAATCCTATATGAGGGACAAACACTCAGAACCCAGCAGCAGAGTTCTGCAATCCTTTGTGAGAGAAAAACATTGAGACCCTCTTAGCAGTGTTCTTGAATCCTACATGAGGGAAAAACATTCAGACCCTCGTAACATTGTTCTGGAATCCAATATAAGGGACAAACACTCAGAACCCAGCAGCAGTGTTCTGGAATCCTATGTGAGCCACAAACATTCAGAACTTCGTAGCAGAGTTCTGGAATCGTATGTGAGGGACAAACACTCAGAACCCAGCAGCAGTGTTCTGGAATCCTATGTGAGGGACAAACACTCAGAACCCAGCAGCAGTGTTCTGGAATCCTTTGTGAGGGACAAACATTCAGAAACTCGTAGCAGTGTTCTGGAATCGTATGTGAGGGATAACACTCTGAACCCAGCAGGACTGTTTTCGAATCCCATGTGAGGGACAATCACTCAGAACCCTGCAGCAGTGTTCTGGAATCCTATGTTAGTGACAAACTCTCAGAACTCAGAAGCAGAGGGAAAAGAAACTACCAAGGGTAGCCAAGATGACCGAATAGGAACAGCTCCTGTCTACAGCTCCCAGGGTCAGCAACGCAGAAGATGGGTGATTTCTGCATTTCCATCTCAGGTACCGGGTTCATCTCACTAGGGAGTGCCAGACAGTGGATGCAGGACAGTGGGTGCAGCACACAGTTCATGAGCTGAAACAGGGCGAGGCATTGCTTCACTTGGCAAGTGCAAGGGGTCAGGGAGTTCCCTTTCCTAGTCAAAGAAAGGGGTGACAGACGGCACCTGGAAAATCACATCACTCCCACCCTAATACTGCACTTTTCCGATGGTCTTAACAAACGGTGCACCAGGAGATTATATCCCACACCAGGCTCAGAGCGTGCTACGCCCACGGAGTCTCACTGATTGCTAGCACAGCAGTCTGAGATCAAACTGCAAGGCGGCAGTGAGGCTTGGAGAAGGTCGCTTGCCATTGCCCAGGCTTGCATAGGTAAACAAAGCAGTCAGGAACTAGAACTGGGTGGAGCCCACCACAGCTCAAGGAGGCCTGCCTGCCTCTTTAGACTCCACCTCTGGGGGCAGGGCACAGACAAACAAAAAGACAGCAATAACCTCTGCAGATTAAATGTCCCTGTCTGACAGTTTTGAAAAGAGCAGTGGTTCTCCCAGCACACAGCTGGAGATCTGAGAACGAGCAGACTGCCTCCTCAAGTGGGTCCCAGACCCCTGACCCCAAGCAGCCTAACTGGGAGGCACCCCCCAGTATGGGCAGACTGACACCTCACACAGCCGGGTACTCCTCTGAGACAAAACTTCCAGAGGAATGATCAGACAGCAGCATTCGCGGTTCATGAAAATCTGCTGTTCTGCAGCCACCGCTGCTGATACCCAGGCAAACAGGGACTGCAGTGGACTTCTAGGAAACTCCAACAGACCTGCAGCTGAGGGTCCTGTCTGTTAGAAGGAAAACTTACAAACAGAAAGGACATCCACACCAAAAACCCATCTGTACATCACCATCATCAAAGACCAAAAGTAGATACAACCACAAAGATGGGGAAAAAACAGAGCAGAAAAACTGGAAATTCTAAAAAGCAGAGCACCTCTCCTCCTCCAAAGGATCACAGTTCCTCAGCAGCAATGGAAAAAAGCTGGGTGGAGAATGACTTTGACGAGTTGAGAGAGGAAGGCTTCAGACGATCAAACTGCTCCAAGCTACAGGAGGAAATTCAAACCAAAGGCAAAGAAGTTAAAAACTTTGAAAAAAATTTAGACGAATGTATATCTAGAATAACCAATACAGAGAAGTGCTTAAAGGAGCTGATGGAGCTGAAAGCCATGGCTCGAGAACTACTTGAAGAATGTGGAAGCCTCAGGAACCGATGCAATCAACTGGAAGAAAGGGTATAAGTGATGGAAGAAGAAATGAATGAAATGAAGTGAGAAGGGAAGTTTAGAGAAAAAAAGAATAAAAAGAAACAAACAAACCTCCAAGAAATATGAGACTATGTGAAAAGACCAAATCTCCGTGTGATGGGTGTACCTGAAAGTGACGGGGAGAATGGAAACAAGTTGGAAAACACTCTGCAGGATATTATCCAGGAGAACTTCCCCAATCTAGCAAGGCAGGCCAACATTCAGATTCAGGAAATACAGAGAACAACACAAAGATACTCCTCGAGAAGAGTGATTCCAAGACACGTAATTGTCAGATTCACCATAGTTGAAAGGAAGGAAAAAATGTTAAGGGCAGCCAGAGAGAAAGGTCGGGTTACCCACAAAGGGAAGCCCATCAGACCAACAGCAGATCTCTTGGCAGAAACTCTAGAAGCCAGAATAGAGTGGGGGCCAATATTCAACATTCTTAAAGAAAAGAATTTTCAACCCAGAATTTCATATCCAGCCAAACTAAGCTTCATAAGTGAAGGAGAAATAAAATACTTTACAGACAAGCAAATGCTGAGAGATTTTGTCACCACCAGGCCTGCCCTAAAAGAGCTCCTGAAGGAAGCACTAAAGATGGAAAGGAACAACCAGTACCAGCCACTGCAAAATCATGCCAAAATGTAAAGAACATCGAGACTACGAAGAAACTGCATCAACTAACTAGCAAAATAATCAGCTAGTATCATAATGACAGGATCAATTTCACACATAACAATATTAACTTTAAGTGTAAATGGACTAAATTCTCCAATTAAAAGACACAGACTGGCAAATTGCATAAAGAGTCGTGATCTAACAATGTGCTGTATTCAGGAACCCATCTCACATGCAGAGACACAAATAGGCTCAAAATAAAAGGATGGAGGAAGATCTACCAAGCAAATGGAAAACAAAAAAAGGCAGGGGTTGCAATCCTAGTCTCTGATAAAACAGACTTTAAACCAACAAAGATCAAAAGAGATAAAGAAGGCCACTACATAATGGTAAAGGGACCAATTCAACAAGAAGAGCTAACTATCCTAAATATATATGCACCCAATATAGGAGCACCCAGATTCATAAAGCAAGTCCAGAGTGACCTACAAAAAAACTTAGACTCCCACACAATAATAATGAGAGATTTTAACAATGCACTGTCAACATTAGACAGAAAAATGAAACAGAAAGTTAACAAGGGTACACAGGAATTGAACTCAGCTCTGCACCAAGTGGATCTAATAGAAATCTACAGAACTCTCCACCCCAAATCAACAGAATATACATTCTTCTCAGCACCACACCACACCTATTCCAAAATTGACCACATAGTTGGAAGTAAAGCTCTCCTCAGCAAATGTAAAAGAAAAGAAATCATAACAAACTGTCTCTCAGACCACAGTGCAATCAAACTAGAACTCAGGATTAAGAAACTCACTCAAGACCGCTCAACTACATGGAAACTGAACAACCTGCTCCTGAATGACTACTGGGTACATAACGAAATGAAGGCAGGAAATAAAGATGTTCTTTGAAACCAATGAGAACAAAGACACAACATACCAGAATCTCTGGGACACACTCAAAGCAGCGTTTAGAGGGAAATTTATAGCACTAAATGCCCACAAGAGAAAGCAGGAAAGATCCAAAATTGACACCCTAACATCACAATTAAAAGAACTAGAAAAGCAAGAGCAAACACATTCAAAAGCTAGCAGAAGGCAAGAAATAACTAAAATCAGAGCAGAACTGAAGGAAATAGAGACACAAAAAACCCTTCAAAAAATTAATGAATCCAGGAGCTGGTATTTTGAAAGGATCAACAAAATTGATAGACCGCTAGCAAGACTACTAAAGAAAAAAAGAGAGAAGAATCAAATAGACGCAATAAAAATGATAAAGGGGATATCACCACCGATCCCACAGAAATACAAACTACGATCAGAGAATACTACAAACACCTCTACGCAAATAAACTAGAAAATCTGGAAGAAATGGATAAATTCCTCGACACATACACTCTCCCAAGACTAAACCAGGAAGAAGTTGAATCTCTGAATAAACTAATAACAGGATCTGAAATTGTGGCAATAATCAAAAGCTTACCAACCAAAAAGATTCCAGGACCAGATGGATTCACAGCCGAATTCTACCAGAGGTAAAAGGAGGAACTGGTACCATTCCTTCTGAAACGATTCCAATCAATAGAAAAAGAGGGAGTCCTCCCTAACTCATTTTATGAGGCCAGCATCATCCTGATACCAAAGCCTCGCAGAGACAAAACAAAAAAAGAGAATTTTAGACCAATATCCTTCATGAACATTGATGCAAAAATCCTCAATAAAATACTGGCAAACCGAATCCAGCAGCACATCAAAAACTTATCCACCATGATCAAGTGGGCTTCATCCCTGGCATGCAAGGCTGGTTCAACATACGCAAATCAATAAATGTAATCCAGCATATAAACAGAACCAAAGACAAAAACCACATGATTATCTCAATAGATGCAGAAAAGGCCTTTGACAAAATTCAACAACCCTTCATGCTAAAAACTCTCAATAAATTAGGTATTGATGGGACATAATTCAAAATAATAAGAGCTATCTATGACAAACCCACAGCCAATATCATACCGAATGGGCAAAAACTGGAAGCATTCCCTTTGAAAACTGGCACAAGACAGGGTTGCCCTCTCTCACCACTCCTATTCCACATAGTGTTGGAAGTTCTGGCCAGGGCAATCAGGCAGGAGAAGGAAACAAAGGGTATTCAATTAGGAAAAGAGGAAGTCAAATTGTCCCTGTTTGCAGATGACTTGATTGTGTATCTAGAAAACCCCATTGTCTCAGCCCAAAATCCTTAAGCTGTTAAGCAACTTCAGCAAAGTCTCAGGATACAAAATCAATTTACAAACATCACAAGCATTCTTATACACCAATAACAAACAGAGTGCCAAATCATGAGTGAACTCCCATTCACAATTGCTTCAAATAGAGTAAAATACCTAGGAATCCAACTTACAAGGGACATGAAATTCCTCTTCATGGAGAACTACAAACCACTGCTCAATGAAATAAAAGAGGATACAAACAAATGGAAGAACATTCCATGTTCATAGGTTGGAAGAATCAATATCATGAAAATGGCCATACTGCCCAAGATAATTTATAGATTCAATGCCATCCCCATCAAGCTACCAATGTCTTTCTTCACAGAATTGGAAAAAACAACTTTAAAGTTCATATGGAACCAAAAAACAGTCCGCATCACCAAGTCAATCCTAAGCCAAAAGAACAAAGCTGGAGGCATCACGCTACCTGACTTCAAACTATACCACAAAGCTACAGTAACCAAAACAACATGGTACTGGTACCAAAATGGAGACATAGATCAATGGAACAGAACAGAGCCCTCAGAAATAATGCCACATAACTACAACTATCTGATCTTTGACAAACCTGCAAAAACAAGCAATGGGGAAAGATTCCCTATTAAATAAATGGTGCTGGGAAAACTGGCTAGCCATATGTAGAAAGCTGAAACTGGATCCCTTCCTTACACCTTATACAAAAATTAATTCAAGATGGATGAAAAACTTACATATTAGACCTAAAACCATAAAAACCCCAGAAGAAAACCTAGGCAATACCATTCAGGACATAGGCGTGGGAAAGGACTTCATGTCTGAAACACCAAAAGCAATGGCAACAAAAGACAAAATTGACAAATGGGATCTAATTAAACTAAAGAGCTTCTGCACAGCAAAAGAAACTACCATCAGAGTGAACAGGCAACCCACAAAATGGGAGAAAATTTTCACAACCTACTCATCTGACAAAGGGCTAATATCCGGAATCTACAATGAACTCAAACAAATTTACAAGAAAAAAACAAACAATCCCATCAAAAAGTGGGCGAAGGACATGAACAGACACTTATCAAAAGAAGACATTTATGCAGCCAAAAAACACATGAAAAAAATGCTCATCACTGGCCATCAGAGAAATGCAAATCAAAACCACAAGGAGATACCATCTCACACCAGTTAGAATGGCAATCATTAAAAAGTCAAGAAATAACAGGTGCTGGAGAGGATGTGGAGAAATAGGAACAGTTTTACACTGTTGGTGGGACTGTAAACTAGTTCAACCATTGTGAAAGTCAGTGTGGTGATTCCTCAGGGATCTAGAACTAGAAATATCATTTGACCCAGCCATCCCATTACTGGGTATATACCCAAAGGATTATAAATCATGCTGCTATAAAGACACATGCACATGTATATTTATTGCGGCAGTATTCACAATAGCAAAGACTTGGAACCAACCTAAATGTCCAACAACAATAGACTGGATTAAGAAAATGTGGCACATATACACCATGGAATACTATGCAGCCATAAAAAATGATGAGTTCCTGTCCTTTGTAGGGACATGGATGAAACTGGAAATCATCATTTTCACTAAACTATCACAAGGACAAAAAAGCAAACACCGCATATTCTCACTCATAGGTGGGAATTGAACAATGAGAACACATGGAGACAGGAAGGGGAACATCACACTTCGGGGACTGTTGTGGGGTTGGGGGAGGGGGAGGGATAACATTAGGACATATTCCTAATGCTAAATGACGAGTTAATGGGTGCAGCACACCAACATGGCACATGAATACTTATGTTACAAACCTGCACATTGTGCTCATGTATCCTAAAACTTAAAGTATAATAATAAAATAAAATAAAATAAAAAAGCAAAATATACACTAATACAGATTAACCAACTAAAAAAAAAGTAGAGAAAGCTCATTTAAAAAATATAAAACATACAGTAATAATCTAACACGTTGAAATCTAAGAAGAAGAAAACAGCTGGTCTGAACAGCATTTTAAGTGGCAATGTTAGAGGTTTTATCAAAATTGACCAATAATATTAAATCACAGGTTCAGGAGGCTTTGCAAACCAAACGAAAACACACACAGAGGACACACCTAGAAACATAATGGGACAATTTCTGAAAAGTAAAATAAAAATGTAAAGAGCACTTGATAAAAAAATTGGGCTAACTATAAAGAGAAAGAGTTGACTGATAACAACCTTGTCAAATGAAACAATGAAAGCCAACAAGTGAGGTATTGATACCTTTCAAGTCCTGAAATAAAATAAGTGCCGTCCTAGAAGTGTCTACTTGGTGGACATATCCATCAAAAGCAAAGATACAATAAAGAATTTATCCCAAGCAGACCCACAGGAAAGGAAATAGTAAAGATTATTCTTCAGGTAGAAGAGCCATGATCCCTGATGAAAGTTTGCAGTTAGAAGAACGCTTTTTTTTTAATGAAAGAAATAAACATAGAGAGAAATTTAATTGGATATCGACGGTATAACAGAATGCTATCTCATAAAGTTTAAAATGTATCTTCCATACAACAGCAGAAGCA
Source organism: Homo sapiens (assembly GCF_000001405.40). Classification (NCBI taxonomy): domain Eukaryota; kingdom Metazoa; phylum Chordata; class Mammalia; order Primates; family Hominidae; genus Homo; species Homo sapiens. The sequence goes on from NW_021160024.1 coordinate 117,104, forward strand.
TGTAAGTTGTGAGTTGGATAATTTAATTTTAAAATATTGTCAAGTTTTTTTGCAAATAGACAAACGTACCAATTATATTAGCCCCTGAATTCAAGAATGCACTTTGTAATAAACCAGTTAAAACACAATCAGACCAGATTTTTAAATAGACTCTCTTAAAGTTTTTATAATTTATATTTATATTTCACATATGTTGAAACTAAATAATGGAAAAGCATGCAATGCAAATATTAACCAAAATATAGCTTTAGTTGTACTTCTATTCACATTTTAAAAGTTGGACACAGTTAAGTCTCAGTGATTTTTTTACACAACGGAGGCAAGCTGTGCAGTTATAACTAGTATTATATTATGCTCTTGGCCTGATTACAGAAGGGAAAGGGGCAATCATACCAGACAATGGCAGAATGGAGCAACAAGGAGTAGAGTTACAGAACATGATGCTGTAACTGGGACTGGAGTTACTCTTTTAGAGTTAAAGAATAGGAAACTGGACAAAATATATGAAACTTTTTTTGAAGTACTGAACATCAGGCAGCACAGTACTGTGCTCCGCAAGAGAAGAGAAGGAGCCAGAATGAGTCCTGCTTTATTCCCAGGTTCTCCGTGACAGCAGTAGAGAGGAATCCCAGGGAGAGAGATATTGTCATTGCACTGAGGAACCAGATAAAAATCAAAAAAGTTAAGCAGCTGGAATGTGTAGTAGAAGAGAACGTTTACAGAAAAAGGAACCAATAATCAGCCTAAGGTTTCTCCCAAGTCCCTAAGTCAAATGTACATAGGATGAAATTCTAAGGAGCTCAGCAAAGGACTCTACCAGGGAGTTGGAAGAAGAATACTTCCCTGGCATCACATAACAGGAAGACATGTTAGCTCTGACCAGCCAGAGAAGGGAATCCCCTCTGTACCTCCAGGATATTCAGTAAAGACCACTGGAGGTTCATGCCCCAGTGACAGTGCTCATTTAGCTCCAAATGACAGATGGCTCTAGACTAACTCAACAAAGTTTAAAGAGAAGATTTAAAACAAAAACAGAAAAATACTCATCCTGAAGTTACTGAACTGCCTGCCCCAAAATTGTTCAAAGGTAGCCAATAAATTCTAGATATTCAATAGCATAATATCAAAATACCCAAAAAAAAACTCTGACATGCAAAGAAGCCGGAAGATATATATTATTAAGATATATATTAACAGGATAAAAATAAGTCATTTGTAAATGACAGAGAAGAAGGAATTTTCAAGGTCCTTAAAGTAAATATATTTTATAAATACATATAGATAAATACATATATATGTCAAAGTAGTTAATTGAAAATTGATCATAGGAGAAAAATAGAAGTTATAAAAAGAAAAATGTGACATGTATAGATGAAAAATAAATATTTGAAATAAAAATTCCATGAGATAGAATAAGTCATGGATTTTTCCCTAACATCAGAAAATTTATGGAAAAAAATAGAAGCTTTACAAACTAAAGGACAAAGGGTAAACTAAAATAAGAAAGCCAGAAACTCACTGTTACGTGAGACAATATGCAGCAGTGTAGCATGAGATTTGGAAGGGGCAAGCATTCAAACCATAGCAAGAGTTAAATTTCCTTTTAAAGAAAATCACTGATATGATTCCATTTCGCCATAGATAAAAACTAGTATTTCAGCCTACCATTGAAGTGTACTTATAGCTAACGGAAAGGGCACTCTGTCTCAGGAATACAGATTTGCCTAGAGGTATCCTATTGCAGTCAAAGAAAGAGCAATGAGGGATAGAAAAGGTTAGTGATGGAGACACCAACGCTGCATTTTACAACAAACAATGTAAAAACTTTACGGATTGGTTCTGCTAACTTACTACAGTTTACATTCCTCTCAGGTGGGAGAATTGTTGAGTATTTTCTTAAGACAGAAAAGCAATTCAGATAATCTGAAATCTCCACAAGAAGGATAAGAAGCACAGCAGAAACTATTCTAGGCAGGAAGTCAATCCATTCAACTGTCTGTGCTCCATAGAAACAATTGTCTGCACTGGGAGTCATATGAGGTACAAACAACAGCCAGACCTCTGATCTTCTCATTAGTGATTTCAGAAGAAATTGCCAGTCAGCTGAGTAATTCACTTAGTAAAGTAAACATTTGGCACTGACAGAGGTTAGACGGATAGCTATTTGTATCACCATATTCATGAAGCTGGAATATTTTCCATTACTGATATCACATCTGAATGGAAGATGTTAAAAGGTCTCTCATCTTGTAAGATGGATATGAAAGAACATTTTTTGAGAAATGAAATTATTCACACACCAGCGAGGTGGATGGAAGAGAAAACAAAAGAATAATCAGCTTGAGTTCTCCTTGATAAGACAACTCACTAAAAACATAAAGAGAAAAATACAAGTTTAAAATAATTAACCAGAAGAAGACGACTCTAGATTTTTAAAATTGCTGATAAGATTTTAATTTGCTCCAAGTTGAAAATAACTATATTGCTTGTGTTTTAAGGTACATAATGAGCAATTATATCACACATGATAGATTCAGCAGTAAAATATTATCCGTTAACAGCTGGAACTCATAAAAGCATAGCACAATGTGAAGATGGAATTTGCTAAAATAAACCATCTGCTGAAAAATACTATTCTGCAAATTTAAAAATAAAGTTTAAATGTTATTTGTCTTATTTAATAGGTCTGTGAAAAAATGCGATATTTGAAAAGTAGGTGCTACCTTAATTAGTTCTTTATATTAGACAGCTGGTTACAGTAATGCACAGTAAGGTGTTACATAGAAATATTGCTAAATTTTCTGCATATACTATGTATTTAGTTAAATTATTTGAAATTTTATAGTTAAAGTAACAAATGTATATTTAAATGTTTTGACACAAATTACAAATATACGTTTAAAAAGCATCTTACACTCTAAATATTATTTGTCACCTATATATTTGTCTTTTCTCTATAGGAAAGTTTAAATTTTTCCCTTGAAGCTTTAATTATTTGAGTCTATCAAACAAATTGATAATGTACAAACTAACAGGAAAAAATGTTTACAAATATAATTATGTGCACAAGTACGCACTTGGAGTTTACATAATATACATAAATATATATATACAAATATTTTTATATTATAAATCAATATACAAATATATACTATATATGTATAAAAACTCCAGGAAAGGCAAGGTAGTCAACACGCCTATGTTGTCTTGAGATTACAGAAAACACAGAGCTGTACTTTGGTAAATCAGGCTTTGCAGAAGGCAGGTGATGACAAGGAAGAAAGAGGAGCCTGGCAGCAGAGGTGGTCTTGTTACATGGATGAAACCTCACAGGGAGCAGCCCTCCTCTTGGGAAGTAAAGATAGGAAATGGTTTTTAGAAATGTAAACGTGCCAGACTCAGTTAATCTTTCCTAAACCCAGACAAGGGAGTATCTCAGGGAAAGCCTGTCTATATCAATGCAGATTTTCTCTACAAATGCAAATCTCCCCAACAAACACAGCTTTTCAGCTATTCTTGTAGAAGAAGCTATTTCCAGTCTTCCGAGTAGCCATCTTGAAATACATCAAAAAGTTGGCCAGGCGCACGCCTGTAATCCCAGCACTTTGGGAGGCTGAAGTGGGTAGATCACCTGAAGTCAGGAGTTCAAGACCAGCCTGACCAACATGGTGAAACCCCGTCTCTACTAAATACAAAAAATTAGTCGAGTGTGGTGGTGCATGCCTGTAATCTCAGCTACTTGGGAGGCTGAGCTAGGAGAATAACTTGACCTTGGGAGGCTGAGGTTGCAGTGAGCCAAGATTGTGCCATTGCACTCCAGCCTGGGCAATAAAAGCAAAACTCCATCTCAAAAAAAAAAAATGTATTTTAGGGTAATATTTTGAGTATCTTTATCTCCATATGTACAATAAATATTATTGTAATTTTTAATCTTTACTCTTCTGTGGAGAAAACATAGGTGTGATTGCTAGTGTAGCTGAACATCACGTTTATTTGACAATATTGCACTTGTGTGTGGGTGTGCGTACAGCTACTCTTTACATTAGTTCTCAGGTAATGATTAGAGATTAACAATTAATTCAGTAAAATGTATGTTTTGCAATATTTCTCCATGTTATTATGTTTTAAATTAGTTTAATCATGCCCCTATAATGTGTATATTTTAACCTTTGACTATAGGTCTCAATCTTACTTTGGTTCCTGTATTTGAATTTATGCTAATAAGGTTCTACAGCTAAAAAGGGTTATATAAACTTATCTACATTTTTACTAGTATTCTGGTGTCATTTTAAATTATGTAATGAAATCAAATTTTAATTTGGATTATTGTTATCTGAGTTAAGGATCTAAATTTTTAATTTTCTTATAAATATTACATAATTATTTCTGAACCATATATTGACTAATGTGCCCTTTATGTGATGTGCATTGTAAGAGCTTGGGATTGATTCCTTTGCAAAGATGAATGCTTGAGAAGTAGATATTTAATCATAACATTTCAAAATCTACTGGATAACCTAGAATGGAAAAATAGCCTATAGGTTGAAAAACTCCTGTAGCGAAGAAAGAAAATAACTAATATACAGTGACAATATAAATACTATAAGTATTTATTTTATTATCGCCCTGAAATTTGATAATACAAACATGTAATATCTACATATCATCCATATATCCGGTCATAAAAAATCAATACATTCTTCAAAAATTTAGCATAACAGAAAATACACTCTCTCTCCTTGATGGAATTAAGTTACAAATAAAAGTAAAAATAAGTAGATAAGTAGATGGAAGTAGATGTTTAAAAACAAAGAAAAATATTTGTTTTGGATAACATAAAAACTCAATTGACTATTCCAATATTTCAAGAATTTTGGCTGTCAACTGGTGGAGAGTTTTCCCCAGGAGACAATTGTCAATGTCTAGGGTTATTGTGGGGATGTCAAGACTGGTGGAAGTGTGAAATTTAGAGGTCAAACGAAACACCTAGCATTGCTAGGGCAGCCTCCTACAACAAAGAATCCTCTAGTCCTAAAGATAAGTAGCACCAAGGTTGAGAAACCATAATCTAGAAAGTAAACACTATGCAGCTATTCCAAGTGCTCAGGAAAACACATCAATGCCCTCGAGGGGAAAAGGGTAAACATTTTAATTGTTGTACATGGTGACACAAATCCATGTTGTTAATGTAAGTGGAAGGGGCTGAAGCACAAAACGTAATTCAAAGAGTTTACTTGATCCAAAATGAGGACAGCTACCTGGAAGAAACAGACCCAAGTTTCCTTGGATATGAACTCCATTTGGAGCTTTGCAACAAGCAGTTTCTTAAAGGCAAAAAAGGGTCCAGAAGTGGGATGATGCAAAGAGGTTTGTCATAAATTCTCATTGGCTTATGGAAATAACATTTATTAGTGACTGGCTATACACTGTTACACCATTATTGGGTGTGGATTATAGTGTCTGGTGTGACATTATTTGTTAATTTATAGCTACTGTGGCAACAGCAAGCAGCCTAGATGCTCAAAGAGGAGCAGGACAGAACTGCTGTCTCATTTGAATATCTCTCTGGGCCTGATTATTTAAAAGGACTTGCATTTCTCACATGAAAGTTATTTTCTTTTCTCAATGTCCATAAATGAGAATAAATAGACATAAAATAGATCTTTTTGAGGATGAAGTAAATGGAATAAAAAACAAAACCCAAGCTGTACAGAAATCATAGAGGGAAGAAAAGGTTATAAATATATGGAGTTTTCAAAGTGATTTTAAGCTATTAGGAACCAATTAAATGTTGGGGGAATTTGTCTGAGTATGGGCTAAAGGAGAATGTCCCTTTTGCCTTCTGAAGTTTCCCTGAAAATCACTAATAGGAGTCAGATAAATAGTAGAAAAGGCATACAGGTTTCTGCAATGTGCGTACACTGGAGCCCTTAGAATGAAGACCCAGACCCAGCAGAAGCTTATCTACCACATGAAGTTTACAGAAAGAATGGGGTCTTGGATCACAGGGAAAAAAAAAAAAAGTTATGTGAGAAAACGACCCTGGCTAGCAACAGTGGACTTATTACGTAGGTGAAACCTCACTGGGAGCAGTCCTCAGAGAGAATAGACAGAAAATGTTTCTTTCAGACCTTTGGAGACCTCAGACGCTCAGTTAAACTTTCCTAGATCCAGACAAGGGAGCAGATCTCAGAGAAAGCCTGGCTGCATCAAGGCAGATTCTCTACCGATGCAAATCTCCCCAAGACAGCTTTGCAGCTATGTTTGCATTTCCAGCCCTTCTGAATAGCCATTTTGAAATATATCAAGGAAATATATTTTGGGATAAAATATATTAATTTCCTTCATACAGCTATAAAACATGCAGGAATAATTTTTCTCAATGTCTACTACAAATACAATATAGCAGTAATTATAAAACCCACCAGATACTGAAGAAAAAATATGTAAAGTACATCACTTACAAATATTGATACTAAAATGCCAAATAAAAAATAATATCCAACAATATTTGAAACAGTAAGACAAGAAATTGGCAAAAAAATAAAACAAATATCCACCTTGGGGATGAAAGTGTGATTCCAAATTTGGTAATCCAATAATATTAATAATCATATTGATTAGCCCAAATAAAAAATAGGGGATTCTCAGTACACGCTAAAACATATTTGTTAAAAGGTCATATTCACGTCTTTAATGATTTTAAATACTATAAAGAGTCTGATATTCTATATGCAAACATGTGTATGTCCATTAGAAGAACAGAGGCCTGATTTTCATATGTTACTACATAGAGGTAGAGAAGTGGATAGATTAATTTGCATATGCATAGAGAAAGCATAAAATAGTAATTTACTATCATACTTAAAGGAATTTAAATTCAACAATAAAATAATTCAAAGGTACAATTTTAAATACTTTTAACAGTTACATTATTAATTAGATAATATTTATAATAATTGTGAAAATATTCAATGCTAAAATAAGATAGAATGTCTAAACATCAGTATTAAAACTAGTGTAAATATTTGCTTGTTTATACAAGGAAAATTCAAGCTCAACCTAAAATTATATAGGAAATAAAAAAATTTTAAGGGAGCTCTTTAACACAAACATATATATATACACACACATATAACATGCATATATGTTATATGGGATAGATATAGATTTAACATGTTATATCTATACTTGTATCTATCTATAACTACAGCTGTATGTATCTACATTTCTATATATTTACTCAGTGATATAAATATAGAGTGGAATAAATATAAAAACACGTATGATTCTTGGATAAAAAGGATTTAGTATCATAAAGACAAATTCTTTCCAAATTCACCTACGAATCCACAACAATATACAGTTTCATTAGTATAATTTAAAATTTTTAAATAAATTCCAAGATTTATTTAAAGGAATATACATGTATACCAGCAGTAAAGAAAGAAGCAAGAATGCACTAAACTAACTTGCTATTAAAATACATTTTTAAACTTAGCAACTAAAACTGAGCAGTAATGATTTGGAGTACTGGAATTTAGGTATATGTGATCTCAAAAGCATAGAGCTCAAAGGAGACCCCTGTATGCACGAGAGTTTAGGATGTGCTTTAGAAGGCATTACCAAACCACGGGCAAAGTTACTTTGGTGTCTTAGTCTTACTAGGTTTGAAAAGCCAGAGAAAAGACTCAAGGCCACCATATAAGAGCAAAATAAAAGGACAGGGAGAGAATGTGAAGATACTGAAACATTTTACATAAAGTTTTATAAAACATACTTTAAAGAAAGTGTAAGGTTTAGGATACACATCAAAATCAGCAGAACCACTAAATAAATAAATAGGCATTCTAAAATAGCAAGAGAAAATTTAAATGAATTTCTAAAAAATATTGACACCTATGATTTTTAAAATATGTTTCAGATATCCCGTATTTCACAGGGCAGCCTTTCACAACATAGATATATTAGGACATAAAGGCTCTTCTGTTTTTAATTTACTAGTGTTTATAGGGTTAAAAATGTCTTCTACCTCTGTCTTTTGTCTGATGGTGCAAAAAACTTTCATAAGCATGTACTTCTGAATGCCTGATGGATTGACATATATAATATGCTGCTAGTATTAAATTATATGACGGAAAACGCATCCAATCTTCTCACTGTTTACATAAATTCTAGGTTTCTCCTATTTACCTCAAGCACGTATGGAGCGAATTCTTACCTTTTAATATTGCCATGGCATTCACATTGAACATAAGTTGAACTCTCTCATATGGTAGCTGGGTTCAGATTCCCTTGACAATTTCCAGTTCTAACCCTCACAGTTCCTCAGTGTGGCTGGCCCAGATATTGACCCTACACAGCTGCCTCCTCCTGGTGACTAGCCGCTGTGGAACCGTTGGATACAACCTACCTGACTCACCCCACAGACCTCACAGCCCACATGGACAGCCCCCACACGCCAGAGTGACCTGCTCAGTTGCAGCTGCAGCCAAAAAATGTGCCTGCTGGCACTCACCCCACTGACCAGAGCCCCGTGGAAAATTTATTTGGGTAATGTTCTGGGCCGAATAAAGGCTAGAGTCCCACAGACCCCTTTTATCTCTCTTGCTCCCCACTCATCTTCTCCATTTTGTTCAGCCCTATGAGGTGTGCTACTGTATTAGTCCATTTTCACACTGCCGGTAAAGACATGCCCAAGACTGGGTAATTTCCAGAAGAAAGAAGTTCAATAGATGCACAGTTCCACATGGCTGCATAGGCCTCACAATCATGGTGGAAGGTGAAAGGCACGTCTCATGTGGCAGCAGACAAGACAAGAGAGCTTGTGCAGGGGAAACTCCCCTTTATAAAACCATCAGATCTTGTGAGACTTATTCACTCTCAGAAGAACAACATGGGAAAGTCCTGCCCCCATGATTCAATTTCCTCCCACCTGTTCCCTCCCACAACATGTGGGAATTCAAGATGAGATTTGGCTGGGGACACAGCTAAACCCTCTTCTCAGCTACCCTCTTCTCTCTGGGTCTGTGAGTAATAAAACTACTTCTGTGATTTCCCATGTTTGGTCCTGTGGCCTCCATGTGCCTGAGCTGACCTACACTGGAACCTAACTCTCCTCCTGGTCAGGGTCTCTAAGAGTGGCTCTTGTCAGAAATACACAGGACACAGGTCAGGCAACAGCCACCAGGCATCTCCTAGTCTCTACAGATGTTCTGTGAGACGGAGGCCTGGTCGTGGGATGCACACCTGGCCACTGCTGGGGTAAGGAAGTGTCCTGTGAAAGGCACATGTTAAGCTTCCACAACCTCCTGACCAGAACCTGAGAAAGGCAGGGCTCCAATTGACAGTCACTCTCCAGAGACAAACCTCAAGCCCTAACTGGAGGAAATGAAAACAATGTAAAAATCTGAATTATCTTACTATTTGAATGATCCAGTAAAGACATTCTATGCCTGTACACCACATATTTTCTTCGATTGTGGATATATTTTAGATAGAATTCTATGTCGGGCTTTCACTTTAGCCTGGTCCCTACCTCAAGCATAAGGTAAAGATTTTCCATGGGTTCTTTTCTGGTACTACTACCTGCCAGTGTGAGGTCATGTCCTAGTCTATCTTGAGGGAACCCCCCTATTCATTATTGTCAGAGTGAGACTGTTAAGTCTTGATTTCCCTGGACATCTTCATTGCATGACTTTTAATATGATTTTTAAATATACCCTTTACTGGACAATAAATTATATAGTTATCTGAGTAAGATGTATGGTCAGGAAGAGGCATTGCCTCATTCAGCTTTTCTCTTTGGTGAACTCGCATATGTTCTCTTCATCCACCAGTCACCTCTAAACTGTATTGTTCCAAGACAACAAACAGAACTCGAGTGTGTATCTTTCACCACTGGATTTGTCTTTGCTCCATAAAGCTTAATGCTTAATAGGGTTTCTGTTGATGGAAAGTAAAACATACGTTTAAAATATCAGTAATGATGTTTTCCCCTCCTTTTTAGCACATGTGCTTGTGAGAGTCATTGTAATACAATTCTAGTCTCATGCTTTGATCATTCCTAAGATGAAAATAACATTTTTAGATAAAATATCTGAGTTTTATGAGGCCTTTAGTATATGATGTAATAGAATATCAGAAGACCATATTTTTTCTAGTTTTCCATGCAATTCTATCATTGTTTCACCTTTACTCCTACGAAAGTAATTTTCCAAAACAGATATCTTGTCATTCTTCTTGTTGTTATCAGTACATAAGTGAAATGAAAAGCTAGATTATGTAATTTATCTAGAACAAGAAAGTAGAATTGAGTCTATATTCATTAATGAGACTAACCAGTCAATTTCACAGATAGGCATTTTACATTTTGAAGATCACATGGATCCATTGTCAGATATATTATTATTTATGCCTATATGGACATCACCGGTGCATATTTATGTAGAAATCAATGAGAGCTGATTTTTATTTTTATTATATATATTTTTTGAGATAGGGTCTTGCTTTGTTGCCCAGGCTGGAGTGCAGTGGTGCAATCACTGCTCACTGCAGCCTCAGCCTCCCAAGCTCAAGCAATCCTTCCACCTTGGCCTCCCAAATAGCTAGGACAAAAGGTGCACATCACCATGCCCACCTTTTTTTTTTAACTTTTGTTAGAGACTGGGTCTTGCTATGTTGCCCAGGTTGCTTTTGAACTCCTGGGCTCAAAGAATCCGCTCATTTCAGCTTCAACTGCTGGTATTACAAGCATGAGCCACCATATCGGCTGGAAGCTGGTTTTTAAAATACTGAGATCATATAGATAACAGCACCTGAAAAATAGACAACACCAAGCTTTATGTGAAAAGGTGTGAGGGTATCAATATTGTTGTGGCTATTGGGGAGGAAAACATCAGTAAAACCAGTGAGTTAAAGCTGTTGCTTTAAACTTTGGCTTTAATTTAACAAATGTTCTCTGGGGTGACAGTATGTATGTAACCATGCTATGCCCATTCACAGATGCAGTAGAGTGAAGAATTTCTTAAAGACAACTGTTCTAAGATTGAAACTAAACCATACTGGGTTTGAAAAGAGAAAGTCCAAGAATTATCAAGTATTTTAGATATCAGATAAAAGAGAATGCCAGGTATGCGATGATAATCAGCAATGGTTGTTCACACAATACATCAAATCAGTGTTTGAATTAGCTTTTGAATTATAAGGACAAATGGATGAAGTCTTGACTCTTTAGTAGATAAATCTTGTTAGACTGAGATGTGTTTTCCCCTCTTTTTCCACAAGGAGATTACAAATTCGCAAACCTCAGCTGCTCTCATTTTATGCTCTCACCAAGCCAAAAGCTGAAGTTCATCAATCAGTGTGTCTAAGTGTTCACTAGTTATATACCATTTTGTAGTTTCAGCTATCTTTCCAACTTCCTAAATCATCACCTTCATTTGACCTTGTTTTTTTCCACTATCACTTCTTTATTGACCATATAAAGAATATAAATAAGTGCTTATTTTGTTATTGTTCATGTTAGTCTAATTTCATCAAAATATCATAATCCTTTAATTTCATTTTAATTTCAAACATTAAATGAAACCTACATAGAAATGAGTGTAAGATTTGCATTTGCGTTATTTTGGCATCAATTTGCTATCCTCCCTCATACACCTAGTGATCATTTCCATGTATGTGATTTCAAACATCCAAGTGCAGTATTAAAAGCAGTTGTAAATTATGGTTCTCATTTTCGTGATACAATTACTATATAAACTTCCTCTTGCTGCTGTAACCAATTACCACAAACTTCATATCTTACAATAAAGTGACTGGTAATCCTACAGTACTGGAGCTCAGAAGCCTTAAATGAGACTCACAGGGCTAACATCAAGATTTGGGCAGGGCTGCAATCTTTCTGAGGGCTCTGTGGCAACATCTATGTACTTGATTTTTTTCAGCATCCAGAGGCCACCTTTATTCTTTGGAACATGACCTCATTCTTATATCTTTTTTTTTTTCTTGAGATGGAGTCTCCTTCTGTCGCCCAGGCTGGAGTGCAGTGGCATGATCTCAGCTCACTGCAACCTCTGCTTCCCGTGTTCAAGTGATTCTTCTGCCTCAGCTTCCTGAGTAGCTTAGACTACAGGCACGTGCCACCATGCCCAGTTATTTTTTTGTATTTTTAGGAGGGATGGGGTTTCACCATGTTAGCCAGGATGGTGTCGCTCTCCTGACCTCGTGATCCACCCACCACAGCCTCCCAAAGTGCTGGGATTAGGCGTGAGCCACCGCGCTGGGTCCTCATTCTTGTATCTTAAAAGTCAGTGATGTTGAGTAATTTCTCATGCCACCACCTACATGGTTGCCTTTCTTCTGCCTTCTTCTTTCACTTATAAGGAAGCTTGTGATTTCATTGATCCCAACCATTTAAGAAAATCTCTCCATCATTTTATTGCAACCTTAATTTCACTTGAAATCTAATTTCCCACTGCCACACAACCTAACATATTTGTGTGTTAGACTCTGGGAATTAGGACATGAACATTTTTGGGAGGCCATTCTTTTTTCTACAGCAGACATAATCTATTTACCTGCAGATTAAAGTGTTCTTTATTTTTCTGCCTCCCTCTCTTAATTTTCTTAAAATAATAAGAATTGTAGTAAAGGAAAGAAAGAAAGAAAAGCAAGGAAAGAAGGAAAGAAGGAAGGAAGGAAGGAAGGAAGGAAGGAAGGAAGGAAGGAAGGAAAGAAAGAAAGAAAAGGAGGAAATGAGAGAAGAAAGGAAGGGAGGGAGGGAGGAAGGCAAGAAGGGAGAAAAAAGAAAGCAAGAACACAAGAAAGAAAGACAGAAAGAAAGAAAGAAAGAAAAAAGAGAGAGAAAGAAAGGAGGAAGAGAGGAAGGAAATGAGGAAGAGAGAATGGTAAAAGGGAGGAAGGCAAAGAAATAAAGAAAATAAAGAGGAAAAGGAAGGAAGTAAGGAAGGAAGAAAGGAAAAAGGAGGAAAGGAACTGAGGGAGGAAGGAAGAAAAGGAAAGAGGAAGGGAGAAAAAAGAAAGAAAGCAAGAAAGTGAGAAAGAAAGAATAAGAGAAAAGAAGGGAGGGAGAAAGGAAGGGAGGGATAAAGGAAGGGAGGGAGGAGGGAAGGAAGAATAAGGAGAAAGAAAGAAGGAAAGAGAAAAAAGAAAAGAAAGAAAGGAAAAGAGAAAAGAAAAGAAAGAGGAAAAGAAGAAAGGAAGGAAGAAGGCAAGGGAAGGGAAGAGAAGAGAAAGGAAGATGGAAAGAAGGAAGGAAGAACGCAAATATTAGAAATTCTGGGTTTGTTAGAGAATATGCCATACTGTTTTTTTTTCCCTTGAAAGGAAAGAGTATCTGCCATTGAAGATTGGATGTCTTGTTGATGATATTGTTCTTATCTTCCACATGATTACTGAGTTTGTGCCTAGTCTTTCCATTACTAAGACAAAAGTGTTGAAGTCTGCAAATATAATTTTGGATTTTTCTAGTTCACCTTTGATTTCTTTCCTGTTTTACCTCATGTATTTGGAGGTTCTGTTGTTAGCTGCATACCCTAATTAGTAGGATGTTTACATCTTGAGAATTCATTATTATATTATTTATTATCTCTCATCTCTGATACTATTCCTTGTTCCGAACTCTGTTGTGTCTAATATCAATGTAGTCCTTCCACAGCTTTATTTTAGTGTTTCCATGATATGGCTTTCTCCATATCTTGATGATAACCTATTTATATCTCTATGTATTTGGAGCAAGATATAAAATTTAGAGTTGATATTTTAAAGATTTTTCAAGATGGAATTCTTATTTATTTTTGTTCTATTTGACATTCTCTGAGTTTCCTATATCTGAAGTTTGATTTTCTGTCACTTCTTTTAGAATATTTTTGGCAGTTATTTTGAAATATATTTCTTTTGCTCCATTATTTTTTCCTCTATTCTTTTTGGGATTTCAATTATAACTAGGGTAGGTAATTTCATCTCAGTCTTATGCAGGTACTTTTTCTCAGGGTCTCAGGAATGTAGCCTTCTCACACCTCTGTTCTTTTCCTGGCTGTGTTGGTGAGCTCAGTGATATTCCTCCTTCACCTTCAAGAGCAGTTTTGTTTTGTTTTTCCTGTTTTCATACTCCCAGCATCAGGAGTATTCTAAGTGTGGCAGTTTTTGTTGCCTTCCCCTACATATTAAGTGGAATATCTTGGTCTATTCGGACTCTTATAACAAAATAACATAAACCGGGTGACTAAAAAACAACAGATATTTCTTTTTCACACTTCTTGAGGCTGTAAGATCTCAGGTCAAGATGCTCACAAATTCAGTGTTGATGAGAGCCCATTTCATGGTTCATAGATGGTGCCTTCTTTCTATGTCCTCACATAGTGGAAGGCACACAAGAACTCCATTGAGCTTCTTTTATAAAGGCACTAATCCCATTCACAAGGGCTCGGCCCCCAAGACCTGGTCACCTCCCAAGTGTTCTGCTCTCCCTGATCTGTATCATATACAGACTCTCTTGGATTCCTTACCAATTGCTTGAGAGATCACAGTGGGTTTGTGGGGAAAAAGTTTTCAAGATGATGGATCTTTCCCAACTTCTGCAGCTGTCAGCGGTCTCCCAATCTCACCAGCCCCACTTTGTCTTTAGGAATTTATTGATTATTCCAGCTTTACTTGTCATAGTGGTGTCTATTTGTATCTGTCCTATGTAAGTGCATCTGTCCTTTTTCTCCTTGCAGGTGCAAGTACTCAGGAGTACACTGTTGTTACTAATTACTCAGTATTGGTTGGTACATTGTCAAAGATCAAAAAACATTTTTAAAGATAAAAAAAATTCTTGGAAGTTGTGTAATGAAGGGTTAATTCTGCAGACATGGCTTTCCAAAACCTTGCACATTCCAAAGGTCTTCAGGACTGGCCCTTGACAAGCTCCTGGGAGATGATAACCTATGAGCCCTTGGTATATGCTGCCGGATGAGAGTCTTTGTATACCTGAAAACGTAGGTCATATCAAATAGCTGATGCTAACAACGTGATTTCTTGTGAGCACCTGTTTCTGTATGCCTATGACTTTGTGTAATGCCATATTAATATGACCTCTCTTAGGGCATAGGGAGGTTGGGAATTAAGTAGCTAAGTTCAGTCACAGGACACTCGATGCATATGTGGTGGAATCCTAATAAAAACCCTGGACTCAAGACTGACTGAGCTTCCCTAGTTGGCAACAAGTTCACACATGTTGTCTCACACCATTGTAAAGAAAATTAGTCAGTGTGAAGTCCCCACTATGAAAGGACACCTGTAAGCTCACATCTGGTTTGTCCTGGATTCAACTTTATGTGCTTTTATGCTTCTGATTATTTTAATCAGGTTACTTTCACTGTTAGAAACTATAACCACAAAAAAAATCAGCTTCTTGAGTTATGTGAATCATTAAACCAAAGGGGGACTTGGGGACCCCCAATAAAAAGTATATATATTCTTAAAAAGAAAAAGAAAACTGGCTACAGCAGATATTGCTGATGACTTGTCTTCTATGTCCTGGACTCAACGTGTTCACCTGAAATTCACCTGTTTCCAGCTAACTGAGAGCTCCCCACATCATGCCTGTCTTTCTGATTTTTGGACCTGCCTGCAAGCTTCTTGAGGCTAACCAGTGCTTCTCTACCACACATAGGAACAAAGAAGGAGTTGGGGTGGAGAGTTAATGATTCTAAGGCAATCCTTAAGCAATAAGAGATGGGGATTCCAGCATCCCCATCTCTTTGTAAAGTTATTTTGAGACAATCTCCATACCTCCATCATTACTGAGCACATAGCAGTAACTACTCATTCACACTGGCTTCGTGTTCTGTTTCATTTTCTCCACTTCTGTGCTTTCTCACTCAATTTCTGATTAAAGTACCTGACCCCAGATATTTGTTTCATAGTCTATTTTTGAGGGAATCCAGAGCCAAGACAATAACAATGGGAGCTTTGAAATGAGGGAGGGTGAGTATAATCATCAGAAGTTTACCTACCTCACTGGGAACGTGAAGGCCTGGAGAGCTTGCTGTTTCAGTGAGAGAAACATGTTGAATGCCTATATATATATATGTGCAATAAGACGTGCCCTTTACTTATATCAAAGGAAAGTGCTCTTTACCTCTCTTTGTTGTTGTGTTTTTATCACTATTGCCTACACAAGCAGAATATCATACCCAGGATTTAAAGCCCTCTCTGCAGGATTTTCAAGCTCATGTTTTTATCATAAGTCACTCTGCTTCCATGTGTTTTAAATCTAATCCTCATTCCTCTGCTTTTACACCAGAGAATTCATCACTGACTTATTTTTGACTGACCTCCTTATAGAGCTGTCAAGTACACAATTTCTGCTGTGACCTTTCTCTTAGAGTTCAGTCATATAGCCTCTCACTAGATATCATTTCCTCTTATCTTTCCTAATAATGAATTGTCAGTTAAAACTCAATATTTTTAAGATTGAGCTTACCATCTGCACACACACACACACCATTATTGGTGTATTCTCATAGCCTTGAAACACTAATGTCACGTTGATGTCTGCCTTTTCTTTCTCTGCTACCTCATTCCTCATCCTTAGATTATTCTAAAAGATTCAACTAGATCAAGTTGGCTAATTATATTTTTAAGATCCTCTCTACCCTTACCAACTCTTCGTTTAACAAAATTTAAAAATTTCTGGCAGGAGACTGTTGAAATCCCCATGGATGACTGTGGTTTTACTATTTTACCTTTCAGTTTTAATAGGTTTTATATTATGTATTTTGAAGTACTGCTATTGTGTGCATACATATTTCTTATTTACATGACCTCTTGGTGTATTTTCCCCTTTGTCATTTTGAAATGTTATTCTTCATCCCCAGTGATATTTCCTGTTATGATGTCTGCTTTGCTTATCACAGTTTTAGGGGGTTTTGGCTTGTGTGTTTTTCTATTTTTTGGATCAAGTAAGTTTCTTAAAAATCTGTTTGATTCCATTTGATGATTCCATTTGATCCCATTCGAGGATTCCACTCGATTCCATGCGATGATGATTCCATTCGAGTCCATTTGATGATTCCATTCGATTCCATTCGATGATGATTCCATTAGAGTCCATTCGATGATTCAATTTGATTCCATTCGATTCCATTCGATGATGATTCCATTAGAGTTCATTCGAGGATTCCATTCGATTCCATACGATGATGTTTCCATTCGAGTCCATTCCATGATTCCATTCGAGGCCATTCGATGATTCCATCTGATTCCATTCAATGATGACACAATTCGAGTCCTTTCATTGATTCCATTCGATTCCATTCTATGGTGACTGCATTCGGTTCCATTCGATGATGATTCCAACGGATTCCATTTGATTTCTCCATTCGATTCCATTCCTTGCTGATTCCATTCAATTCCATTAGATGATAACTCCACTAGATTCCATTTGATGATGATTTCATTAGATTCCTTTCGATGATGATCCAATTCGATTCTATTCAATGATGATTCTATTCGATTCCATTCAATGATTTCATTCGATTCCATTCAAAGATTGCATTTGATTCCATTCGATGGTGATTCCATTCGTGTCCAATCGATGATTCCATTCGATTCCATTCGATGATGATTCCATTTGAGTCCATTCGATGATTCCATTCGATTCCATGCAATGATGATTCCATCGAGTCCATTCGATGATTCCATTTGATTCCATTAGATGATGACTGCATTCGGTTCCATTTGATGATGATTCTAGCGGACTCCATTCGATGACTCCATTCGATTCCATTCATTGATGATTCCATTCGATTCCATTTGATTATGATTCCATTCAATTCCATTCAATGATGATTCCATTGGATTCCATTTGATGATTCCATTTGATTACATTCGATGATGATTCCTTTTGGGTCCATTCGATGATTCCATTCTATTCCCTTAGATGATGACGCCATTCGATTATTCCATTCAACTCCATTTGATGTTTTCTTTTGATTCCACTCAATGTTGATTCCATTTGAGTCCATTCTATGATTCCATTCGAGTGCATTCCATGATTTCATTTGATTCCATTCGATGATGATTCCATTTGATTCCATTCGATGATTCCATTTGATTTCATTCTATGATGATTGCATTAGATTCCATTCGATGATTCCATTCGAGTCCATTCTATGATTCCATTCGAGTCCATTAAATGATTCCATTCGATTCCATTCGATGATGACTCCAATCGAGTCCATTCAATGATGATTCCATTTGATTCCATTCGATGATTCTGTTGGATTCCATTCTTTGTTTTATTTTGATTCGTTTTGATGATGATTCCATTCAGTTTCATTCGATGATCCCATTGGATTCTATTCGATGATGTTTCCATTCGATTCCATTTGAAGAAAATTCCATTCAATTCCATTGATGATGATTCCATTTGATTCTTTTCGATGCCGATTCTATTCAATTCCATTCGAAGATGATTCCAGTCAATTCTATTCAATGATTAAATTCGATTCCATTCGATGATGATTCCATTCGAGACCATTCAATGATTCCATTCATTTCCATTCAATAATGATTCTATTCGAGTCCATTCGATGATTCCATTCAAGTACATACGATGATTCCATCTGATTCCATTCAATGAATCCATTCGATTCCATTCTATGATGCTTCCATTCGTTTCCATCCGATGATGATTCCATTCGATTCCATTCAATGACTCCATTTGATTCCATTTGAAGATGATTCCAATCAATTCCATTCGATGATTCCATTCGAATCCATTAGATGATGAGTCCATCCATTTCAATTTCATGATAATTCTATTCGTTTCAATTCGATGGTTTTTCCATTCAATTCCATTTGATGTTGATTCCATTAGTTTCCATTGGATGATGATTCCATTCGAGTCCATTCGATGATGATCACATTCAATTTCATTCCATAATTCTATACGATTCCATTCGGTGATGATTCCATCTGATTCCATTTGATGATTCCATTCGATTCCACTCGATGATGATTCAATTCATTTCCATCCGATGATGACTCCATTCAATTTCATTCGATGATGATCGCATTCGAGTCCCATGGATTATTCCATTCCATTCGATTCGATGATTCCATTCAAGCCCATTCGATGATTCTCTTCGATTCCATTCGATAATCTCCGTTTGATCTCCCGTTTGATGTTGATTCCATTTCAGTCCATTCAATGATAATTCCATTCGATTCTGTGCGATGATTCCATTCGATTCCATTTGAAGATGATTCCATTCGAGACCATTCAATGATTCCATTCAATTCATTTGATGACGATTCCATTCAATTCCATTCAATGAATCCATTAGATTCCATTTGATGATGAATCCATTCAATTCCATTCGATGATGATTCCATGCAATTCCATTTGATGATGACTCCTTTCGTTTCCATTCGATGATGATTCCATTTGATTCCATTCAATGATGATTCCTTTGGATTCCATTTGATGATGATTCCATAAAATTCCAATTGATGATGATTCTTTTTGATTCCATTCAATGATGATTCCACTCGATTCCATATGATAATGATTCCATTTGATTCCACTCGATGATTCCATTTGATTCCATTCAATGGTTCCATTCGATTCCATTCAATGATGATTCCATTCGAGTTCATTGATTATTCCATTCCATTCCATTGGATGATTCCATTCGAGTCCATTCAATGATTCTATTCAATTCCATTTGATAATTCCATTCAATTCCATTGGATGATAATTCCATTCGAGTCCATTCGATGATTATTCCATTCAATTCTATTTGGCAATTCCATTCGATTCCATTTGATAATGATTCCATTCGAGACCATTCAATGATTCCATTCAATTCATTCGATGATGATTCCATTCAATTCCATTCGATGATTCCATTCGATTCCATTTGATGATGGTTCCCTTCGATTCCATTCGATGATGATTCCATACGATTCCATTCGATGATGATTCCATGCAATTCCATTCGAAGATGACTCCATTCGGTTCCATTCGATGATGATTCCATTCAGTTCCATGCGATGATGATTCCTTTGGATTCCATTCAATGATGATTCCTTTCGACTCCATTTGATGTTGATTCTTTTCTATTCCATTCGATGATGATTCCATTTGATGCCATTCGATGATGATTCCATTCGATTCCATTCGATGATTCCATTCGATTCCATTTGATGATGGTTCCATTCGATTCCATTCGATGATGATTCCATGTGATTCCATTCGATGATGACTCCTTTCAGTTCCATTCGATGATGATTCCATTCGTTTCCATGCGATGATGATTCCTTTGGATTCCATTCAATGATGATTCCTTTAGACTCCATTTGATGTTGATTCTTTTCTATTCCATTTGATAATGATTCCATTTGATGCCATTCGATGATGATTCCATTCGATTCCATTCGATGATTCCATTCAATTCCATTCGATGATGATTCCATTCGAGTCCATTCAATGATTCCATGTGATTCCTTTTGATGATTATTCCATTCGTGTCCATTCGGTGATTCCTTTTGATTTCAACTGAAGATGATTCCATTCGATTCCATTCAATGATGAATCCATTCGATTTCACACGATGATTCCATTCAATTCCATTCTATGATGATTCCATTCGAGTCCATTTGATGATTCCATTTGACTCCATTTGATGATGATTCCATTCATTGATTCCATTCGATTCTATTCGATGATGATTCCATTCAGTATCATTTGATGCTGATTCCATTCAATTCCATTCGATTATTCCATTTGATTCCACTCGATGATTCCATTCGATTACATTTGAGGATGATTCCACTCTATTCCATTCGATGATTCCATTCAATTCTATTCGATGATGATTCCTTTCGATTCCATTCGATGACGACTGCATTCGATTCCATTTGATGATAATGGTTGATTCCATTCAATGATGTTTGCGATCAATTACGTTCGATTATTCCATTCGATTCCATTCGATGATTCCATTTTATTCAATTCGATAATGATTCGATTCAAGTCCATTCGATGATTCCATTCAAGCCCATTCGATGATTCCATTCAAGCCCATTCAATAATTCCTTTTGAGTCCAATCCATGATTCAATTCGAGTCCATTCGATCATTCCATTTGAGTCCATTTGATGATGATTCCATTCGAGTCCATTCGATAATTCTTTTTGAGTCCATTCAATGATGATTCCATTCGAGTCCATTTGATGATTCCATTCAATTCCGTTAGATGATAATTCCATTCGAGTCCACTCGATGATTCCATTTGATTTCATTTGATGATAATTCCATTCGATTCCATTGAATGATTCCATTCTATTCCATTTGATGATGATTCCATTCGAGTCCATTCAATGATTCCATTCTGGTCCATTTAATGATTCCATTGAGTTCAATACAATGATGATTACATTGGATTCCATTCTATGATTCCATTCGATTCCTTTCATTGATGATTCCATTTGATTCCATTCAATGATGATTCCATTCGATTTCATTTGATGATTATATTTGATTCCATTTGATGAAGATTCAATTCTATTATATTGGATGATTCCATTCAATTCCATTCGATGATGATTCCATTTGATTCCATTCGATGATGATTCCATTCAGTTACATTGGATGATGAATCCATTCAATTCCATTCGATGATCATTCCATTCTATTTCATTCGATGATGATTCCATTCAATTTCATTCGATGATTCCATTCGATCCCATTCGATGATGACTCCATTCTATTCCATTGGATGATTCCATTCTATTCCATTCGATGATGATCCCATTCAATTCCATTCAATGATGATTCCATTCGATTCCATTTGATGATGATTCCATACGATGATGATTCCATTTGATTCCATTCGATGATGATTCCATTCACTTGCATTCGATGATGATTTCAATTGAGTGCATTCAAATATTACATTCGATTCCAATCGATCATGACTCCATTCGTGTCCATTCGATGATTCTATTCCATTCCATTCCCATGATGATTCCATTCGATGCCATTCAATGATTCCATTTGATTCCATTCGTTGATGATTCCATTCGAGTCCATTCTCAGATTCCATTAGATTCCATTTGATGATGATTTCATTTGAGTCCATTTGATGATTCCAGTCGATTCTATTCATTGATGAGTCCATTCAAGTCCCATTCGATGATTCCATTTCATTCCATTTGATGATGATTCCACTCGAGTCCATTAGATGATTCCATTCGAGTCCATTTGATTATTCCCTTAGATAACATTCATTGATGATTCTATTCAATGCCATTCGATGATTCCATTTGGTTCCATTTGATGATATTTCCATTTGAGTCCATTCGATGATTCCATTGGATTCCATTCAATGATGATTCCATTCGTATCCTTTGAATGATTCCATTTTATTCCATTCAATGATGATTCCACTCGAGTCCGTTCAATGATTCCATTTGATTCCATTCAATGATGATTCCATTCAATGATGATTCCATTCAAATCCATTCGATGATTCCATTCGATTCCATTCGATGATTCCTTTTGATCCCATTTGATGAACCCCTTTGATTCCATTCAATGATCACTCCATTCAATTCAGTGATCCCATTGGATTCCATTCGATGATGATTCCATTAGATTCCCCTCCATGATGGTTCCATTCGGTTCCATGTGATGATGATTGCATTAGATTCCATTCGATTATTCCATGTGATTCCATTTGTTGATGATTCCATTTGATTCCATTTGATGATGATTCCATTCGATTCCATTCGATGATATTTCCACTTGATTTCATTCGATGATTCTATTTGATTCCATTCGATGATGAGTCCATTCTATTCCACTTGATGATTCCATTCAATTCCATTCTATGATGATTCTATTCGACTCCATTTGATGATGATTCCATTTGATTCCATTCGATGATGATTCCATTCGTGTCCATTTGATGATTCCACTCAATTCTATTCGAAGATGACTGCAAACGAGTCCGTTAGATGATTCCATTTGATTCCATTGGATGATGATTCCTTTTGATGCCATTCAATGATTCCCTTCAATTTCATTTGATGATGATTCCATTCGATTCCATTTGATGATTCCATTCGGTGATGATACCATTCGATGCCATTCGATGATTCCATTCGATTCCGTTCGATGATTCCATTCAATTCCATTCAATGATGATTCTATTCGAGTCCCTTCAATGCTTGCATTCGATTCCATTCAATGATGATTTCATTTGAGTCCATTCGATGATTCCATTCGATTTCATTCGATGATGATTCCATTCGATTCCATTCAATGGTGATTCCATTCGAGTCCATTTGATGATTCCATTTGATTCCATTCGATGATGATTCCATTCGATGTCATTCAATGATTCTATTCGATTGCATTCAATGATGGTTCCATTCGAGTCCATTCAATGATTCCATTCAAGTCCATTTGATGATTCCTTTCAATTCCATTCGATGATGATTCCATTCGAGTCCATTCAATGATTCCATTCGATTCCATTCGATGATGATTCCATTCGAGTCCGTTCGATGCTTCCATTTGATTTCATTCGATGATGATTCCATTCGATTGCATTTTATGATTCCATTCTATTCCAATCGATGATGATTCCATTCGCGTCCATTTAATGATTCCATTGGGTTAAATTCGATGATGATTACATTGGATTCCATTCTATGATTCCATTCGACTCCATTCGTTGATGATTCCGTTCGACTCCACTCGATGATGATTCCATTCGATTACATTCAATGATTCTATTCGATTCCATTCAATGATGATTCCATTCTATTCAATTCGATGATTCCATTAGATTCCACTCACTGATGATTACATTCAATTTCATTCAATGATTCTATTTGATTCCATTCGATGATGATCCCATTCTATTCAATTCTATGATTCCATTCGATTGCATTCGGTGATGATTCCATTCGATTGCATTCGATGATAATTCCATTTGGGTCCATTCAAAGATTCCTTTCGATTACATTCCATGACGATTCCGTTCGAGTCCATTCGATGATTCCATTCAACTCCATTCAATGATGATTCCATTCGATGCTATTCTATGATTCCATTTGATTTCATTTGATTATGATTCCATTCAACTCCATTCGATGATTCTATTCCAGTTCATTCGATTATTCCATTAGAATGCATTCGATGATGATTTCATTCAAATTCATTTGATGATTCCATTCGATTCCATTCAATGAGGATACTATTCGAGTCCATTCGATGATGACTGTATTCAATTCCATTCGATGATTCCATCTTACTCCATTTGATGAAGATTCCGATCGATTCCATTCTATGATTCCATTCAATTCCATTTGATTATTCCATTTCATTCCATTCCATAATGATTCCATTCGAGTCCATTCGATGATTCCATTTGAGCCTATTCGATAATTCCATTTGAGTCCAATCCATTATTCCATTCGAGTCCATTCGATCATTCCATTTGAGTCCATTTGATGATAATTCCATTCAAGTCCATTCGGTGATTCCATTTGACTCCATCCGATAATTCCATTTCAGTCCATTCGATGATGGCTTTTGATTCCATTCAATGACATTCCTTTTGAGTCTATTCAATGATTCCATTCGATTCTATTCGATGATGATTCCTTTCATCTCCGTTCTGTGATTCCATTTGATTTCATTCGATGATGATTCCTTTCGAGTCCATTAGATGATTCCTTTCAAATCCATTAGATCATTCCTTTCAATTCCATTTGATGATGATTCCATTCAAGTCCATACAGTGATTACATTCGATTCCATTTGATGATGATTCCATTCGATTCCATTCGATGATTCCATTCTATTCCATTCAGTGATTCCATTCGATTCCATTCGATGATGATTCCATTCCATTCCATTCGATGATTCCATTCGATTCTGTTTGATGATGATTCCATTGGAGTCCATTCGATGATTCTATTCGAATCCATTTGATGATTGCTTTTGATTATATTCGGTGATGATTCCATTCGAGTCCATTCAATGATTCCATTCGATTCCATTCGATGATAATTCCATTCGAGTCCATTTGATGATTCCATTTGATTCCATTCTCCGATGATTATATTCAAGTCCATTCGATGATTCCACTCAATTCCATACAATGATGATTCCGTTCGATTGCATTCTATGATTCCATTCTATTCCATTCAATGATGATTCCATTCGAGTACATTAGATGATTCCATTCGATTCCATTCGATGATGATTCTATTCATGCCCATTAGATGATTCCACATGATTCCATTCGATAATGATACTATTCGAGTCCATTCAATGATTCCCTTTGATTCCATTTGATGATGATTCCATTCGATTCAATTCATTGGTGATTCTATTCAATTCCATTCTTTGATTCCATTCCATTCCATTCGACAATGATTCCATTCGATTTCTTTCGATGATTCCACTCGATTCCACTTGTCATTGATTCCATTTGAGTCCATTCAATGATTCCATTTGATTCCAGTCGATGATGATTGCCTTCGATTCCATTCGATCATTCCATTTGATTCTGTTCGATGATGATTCCGTTCAATTCCATTTGATGATTCCATCTGATTCTATTCGAGGATTCCATTCAATTCCATTCGATGATAATTCCATTTGAGTCCATTCAATGATTTCATTCGAGTCCATCCAATGATTCCATTTGAGTCCATTTGATGATTCCATTCAATTCCATTTTATTATGATTCCACTAGAGTCCACTTGATGACTCCATTTGATGACTCCATTCGAGTCCATTTGATAATTCCATTCAAGTCCATTTGATGATTCTATTCGATTCCATTTGATGATTCCATTTGAGTCCATTTGATCATTACTGTTGAGTCCATTTGGTGATTCCATTTGATTTCTTTTGATAGTGATACCATTCAATTACATTTGATGATGATCCCATTCGATTTCATTCGATGATGGGTCCATTTGAGTCCATTCGATGATTCCATTTGATTCCATTCAATGATGATTCCATTCGAGTCCATTCGATGATTTCATTCGAGTTCCTTCGTTGATTCCATCCGATTTGATGTGATGATGACTCCATTCGAGTCCATTCGATGATTCCATTCGATGATTCCATTTGATTCCTTTCCATGATAATTCCGTTTGAGTCCATTGGATGAAGATTCCATTCGATTCCATTCTATGATTCCATTCGATTCCATTCGATGATTCCCTTCAATTCCTTTCCATGATGATTCCATTCCATTCCATTCGATGATTCCATTCCATTCTATTCCATGATGATTCCTTTTGTTTCCATTTGCTGATGATTCCATTCGATTCCATTCGATGATGATTCCATTCGATTCCATTCGATGATGATTCCATTTGATTCCATTCAATGATGATTCCATTCTATTACATTCAATGATTGCATTCAATTCCATTCGATGATTATTCCATTCGAATAAATTCAATGATTCCATTCAATACCATTCTATGATGATTCCTTTCACAGTGTTGAACAGTCTTTTTCTTGAATCTGCAAGTGGACATTTGGAGAGCTTTGTGGCCTGTGGTAGAAAAGGAAATATCTTCACATAAAATCTAGACAGAAGTCATCTGAGAAACTTCTTTGTGATGTGTGCATTCATCTCACAGAGTTAAAATGTTCTTTGGTTGAGGAGTTTTGAAAATCTCCTTTTGTAGAATGTGCAACTGGACCTTTGGAGCGCTTTGTGGCCTATGGTAGAAAAGGAAATATCTTCACATAAAAACTAGACAGAAGAATTATGAGAAACTTCTTTTTGGTGCATGCGTTCATCTCACAGAGTTCAACCTTTCTTTTGATTGACTGGTTTGGAAACACTCTGTCTTTTAAATCTGGAAGTGAACATTTGGAGCGTTTTGAGGCCTATGGTGGAAAAGGAAATATCTTCATATAAAAACTAGACAGAAGAATTCTGAGAAACTTCTTTGTGATGTGTGCATTCATCTCACAGAGTTGAACTTTTGTTTGGATGGGGCAGTTTGAAAACACTCTTTTTCTAGAATTTGCAAGTGGACATTTGGAGCTCTTTGCAGCCTATGGTAGAAAAAAGGAATATCTTCACATAAAATCTAGACAGAAGTAATCTGAGAAACTGCTTTGTTATGTGTGCATTCATCTAACCGAGTTGAACCTTTCTTTTGATTGAGCACTTTGGAAACACTCTTTTTGTAGAATCCGCAAGTGGACATTTGGAGCGCTTTGCAGCCTATTTTAGAAAAGGAAATATCTTCACATAAAATCCAGACAGAAGAAATCTGAGAAACTTCTTTGTAAATGTATGCATTCATCTCACAGTGTTAAACCTTTCCTTTGATTGAGAAGTTTTGAAACTCTCTTTTTGTAGAATCTGAAAGTGGACATTTGGAGTACTATGAGTCATATGGTGGAAAAGGAAATATCCTCAGATGAAATCTAGAAAGAAGCAATCTGAGAAACTTTTTTATGATGTGTGCATTCATCTCACACAGTAAAACCTTTCTTTGGATTGAGCAGTTTTGAAACTCACTTTTTGTAGCATCTGTAAGTGGACATTTGTAGGGCTTTGAGGCCTATGTTGGAAAAGGAAATATCTTCACATAAAAACAAGACAGAAGAATTCTGAGAAACGTATTTGTGATGTGTGCGTTCATCTCATAAAGTTGAACTTTTCTTTTGATTGAGCAGTTTGGAAACACTCTTTGTAAAATCTGCAGTGGACATTTGGAACGCTTTGCAGCCTATGTTAGAAGAAAGAAATATCTTCATATAAAATCTAGACAGAAGCAATCTGAGAAACTTCTTTGTGATGTGTCCTTTCATCTCACCGAGTTGAAACTTTCTTTTCATTGAGCAGTTTCGAGACCCTCTTTTTGTGGAATCGGCAAGTGGAAATTTGGAGCACTTTGTGACCTATGGTAGAACAGGAAATGTCTTCACATAAAATCTAGACAGAACCAATCTGAGAAACTTCTTTCTGCTGTGTGCATTCATCTCACACAGTTAAATCTTTCTTTTTTTGAGCAGTTTTGAAACTCTCTTTTTGTAGAATCTGCAAGTTGACATTTGGAGTGTGTTGAGGCCTACGGTGGAAAAAGAAATATCTTCACATAAAATCTAGAGAGAAGCAATCTGAGAAACTTCTATGTTGGAAAAGGAAACATCTTCACGTAACAAATAGACAGAAAAATTCTGAGAAACTTCTTTGTGATGTTTGGGTTCATCTCACAGAGTTGAACCTTCCTTTTGATTGAGCAGTTTGAAAACACTCTTTTTGTAGTATCTGGAAGTGGACATTTGGAACGCTTTGCAGCCTATGGTAGAAAAGGGAATATATTCACATAAAATATAGACAGAAGAAATCTGAGAAAATTCTTTGTAATGGGTGTATTCATTCAACAGAGCTGTACCTTTCCTTTGATGGACCAGTTTTGAAATACTCTTTTTGTGGAATCTGCATGTGGACATTTCGAGAGCCTTGAGGCCTAGCGTGGAAAATGAAATATCTTCACATAAAAGCTAAACAGAAGAATTCTGAGAAATTTCTTTGAAATGTGTGGGTTCATCTCACAGAGTTGAACCTTTCTTTTGATTGAGCAGTTTGGAAAAATTGTAGAATCTGCAAGTGGACGTGTTGTGTGCTTTGTGGCCTATAGTAAAAAAGGAAATATCTTCACATAAATTCTAGACAGAAGTAATCTGAGAAACTCCTTTGTGACGTGTGCATTCATCTCACAGCATTAAAACTTCCTTTTGATTGGAGCAGTTTTGAAACACTCTTTTTGTAGAATCTGCAAGTGGACATTTGGAGCGCTATGTGGACTATGGTGGAAAAGGAAATATTTTCACATAAAAACTAGACAGAATTCTGAGAAACTTCTTTGGGACGTGTGGATTCATCTCACAGAGTTGAACCTTTCTTTTGATTGAGCAGTTTGCAAACATTCTTTTTGTAGAATCTGCAAGTGGACATTTGGAGAACTTTGCGGCCTATGGTAGAAAAGGAAATATCTTCATATAAAATCTAGACAGAAGCAATCTGAGAAACTTATTTGTGATGTGTGCATTCATCTCACAGCGTTAGAACTTCCTTTTTATTGGAGCAGTTTTGAAACACCCTTTTTGTAGAATCTGCAAGTGGATATTTGGAGTGCTTTGAGGCCTATGGTGGAAAAGGAAATATCTTCACATTAAATCTAGACAGAAGCAATCTGAGAAACTTCTTTTTGATGTGTGCATTTATCTCACAGAGTTAAAACTTTCCTTTGAATGAGTAGTTCTGAATCTGTTTTTGTTGAATCTGAAATTGGGCATTTGGAGCTCTTTCAGGCCCTTGGGGGAAAGGAAATATCTTCACATAAAATCTAGACAGAAGAATTCTGAGAAACTTCTTTGTGATGTGTGCATTCATCTCACAGAGTTAAACCTTTCTTTTGATTGAGCAGTTTTGAAACTCTCTTTTTGTAGATTCTGCAAGTGAACATTTGGAGCAGTTTGAGACCTATCGTGGAAAAGGAAATATCTTCACATAAAAACTAGATAGAATCAATGTGAGAAACTACTTTTTGATATGTGCGTTCATCTCCTAGATTTGAGCCTTTCTTTTGATGGGCCAGTTATTTATTACTCTTTTTGTGGAATCTGCAAGTGGACATTTGAAGCCCCTTGAGGCCTGTGGTGGAAAATGAAATACATTCACATAAAAACTAGACAGAAGAAATCTGAGAAACATCTATGCAACATGTGCGTTCATCTCACAGAGTTAAACTTTTTTTGATCGAGTAGTTTGGAAACACACTTTTTGAACAATCTGCAAGTGGACATTTGAAGCTCTTTGAGAACTGTGGTGGAAAAGGAAATATCTTCACACAAAAACTAGACAGAATAATGCTGTGAAATCACTTTGTGATGCATGCGTTCATCACACAGAGTTGAAAGTTTCTTTTCAATGGGGTTTTTGGAACCACTCTTTTTGTAGAATCTACATGTAGACAATTTTAGTGCTTTGCGGCCTATGGTAGAAAACGAAATATATTCACATAAAATCTAGACAGAAGCAGTCTGGCAAACTTCTTTGTGATGTGTGCATTCATCTCACAGAGTTAAACCTTTCTTTTTATTGAGCAGTTTTGAAACTCTCTTTTTGTAGTATCTGCAAGTGGACATTTGGAGCCCCTTTAGGCCTGTGGTGGAAAAGGAAATCTCTTCACATAAAAACTAGACAGAAGAATTCTGAGAAACTTCTTTATGATGCATGCTTTCATCTCCCATAGTTGAAACTTTCTTTTGATACAGCCGGTTGGAAACAATCTTTTGTAGAATCTGAAAGTGCACATTCAGAGCGCTTTGCAGCCTATAGTAGGAAAGAAAATATCTTCACATAAAGTCTAGACAGAAGCAATCTGAGCAACTTCTTTGTGATGTGTGCATTCATCTCATGGAGTTAAACTTTTCTTTTGATTGAGCAGTCTTGAAGCTCTCTATTTGTAGAATCTGCAAGTGGATATTTGGAGCTCTTTGAGGCCAACAGTGGAAAAGGAAATATCTGCACATAAAAACTGGACAGAAGAATTCTGAGAAACTTCTTTGGGATGTGTGCATTCATCTCACAGATTTGAACCTATCGTTTGATTGAACAGTTTGGAAACACTCTTACTGTAGAATCTGCAAGTGGACATTTGGAGAACTTTGCGGCATATGGTAGAAAAGGAAATATTTTCACATAAAATCTAGACAGAAGCCATCTGAGAAACTTCTTTGTGATGTGTGCATTCATCTCACAGAGTTAAACCTTTCTTTTGATTGAATGGTTTTGAAACTCTTTTCGTAGAATCTGCAAGTGGACATTTGGAGTGCTTTGAGGCCTATACCTATGGTAGAAAAAGTAATACCTTCACATAAAATCTAGAGAGAAGCAATCGGAGAAACTTCTTAGTGATGGGTGCATTCATCTCACAGAGTTTAAACTTTCTTTTGATTCAGCAGTTTTGAAACTCTCTTTTTGTAGAATCTGCAAGTGGACATTTGGAACGCTTTGAGGCCTATGGTGGAAAAGGAAATATCTTCACATAAAAACTAGACAGAAGAATTCTGACAAACTTCTTTGTGATGTGTGCGTTCTTCTCACAGAGTGGAACCATTCTTTTGATTGAGCAGTTTGGTACCACTCTTTCTTGTAGAATCTGAAAGTGGACATTTGGAGCGCTTTGCAGTCTATGGTAGAAAAGTAAATATCTTCACATAAAATCTAGACAGAAGCAATATGAGAAACTTGTTTGTGATATATGCATTCATCTCACAGAGATAACCCTTTCTTTTGATTGAGCAGTTTTGAAACTCTTTTTGTAGAATCTGCAAGTGGACATTTAGAGCGTCTTGAGGCCTATGGTGGAACAGGAAATATCTTCACATAAAAATTAGACAGAAGAATTCTGTGAAACTTCTTTGTGATGAGTGCATTCATCTCACAGAGTTGAACGTTTCTTTTGATTGAGTAGCTTGGAAACACTCTTTTTGTAGAATCTGCAAGTGGACATTTGGAACTCTTTGTGGCCAATGGTAGAAAAGGAAATATTTTCACATTAAATCTAGACAGAAGCAATCTGAGAAACTCCTTTTTGATGCGTGCATTAATCTCATGGAGTTAAACCTTTCTTTTGATTGAGCAGATTGGAAACTCTCTTTTTGTAGAATCTGCAAGTGGACATTTGGCAGCGCTTTGAGGCCTGTCGTGGAGAAGGAAATGTCTTCACATAAAAAGTAGATAGAAGCATTCTGAGAAAGTTCTCTGTGATGTCTGCATTCATCTCCTGGAGTTCCATCTTTCTTTAGGAGAACCAGTTTTCAAATACTCTTTTTGGCTAATCTGCAAGGGGACATTTCAAGCACCTTCAGGCTTAAGTTGTAAAAGGAAATATCTTCACAAAAAAACAGATAGAAGAATTCTGAGAATCTTTTTTATGATGTGTACGTTCATCTAACAGAGTTGAACCTTTCTTTTGATTGCATAGTTTCCAAACACCGTTTTTGTAGAATCTGCAAGTGGACATTTGGAGCGCTTTGTGGCTTATGATAGAAAAGGAAATATCTTCACATAAAATCTAGAAGGAAGCAATCTGAGAAACTTCTTTGTGATGTGCGCATTCATCTCACAGAGTTGAAACTTTCTTTTGATTGAGCAGTTTTGAAACACTCTCTTCGTGGAATCTGCAAGTGGATATTTGGAGCCCTTTGAGGCCTATTGTGGAAAAGGAAATACCTTCACATAAAAACTATGCAGAAGCATTCTCAGAAACTACTTTGTGAGGTGTGCATTCAACTCACGGAGTTGAAATTATCTTCTCTTTGAGGAGTTTTCAATCTCTCTTTTTGTAGAATCTGCAAGTGGATATTTGAAGACCTTTGTGCCCTATGGTGGAAAAGGAAATATCTTGAAATAAAAGCTACACAGAAGCATTCAGAGAAACTTCTTTGTGATGTGTGCATTCAACTCACAGAGTTGAACCTATCTTTTGATTGAGCAGTTTTGAATCTCTCTTTTGCACAATCTGAAGGTGGATATTTCGAGCCCTTTGAGGTCTACAGTGGAAAAGCAAAGATCTTCACATAAAAACTATGCAGAAACATTGTGAGAAACTTCTTTGTGAGGTGTGCATTCAACTCACAGAGTTGAACTATCTTCTCATTGAGCAGTTTTGAATTTATCTTTTGGTAGAATCTCCAAGTGCATGTTTGGAGCCCTTTGCGCTCTATGGTGGAAAAGGAGATATCTCCAAATAAAAACTACACAGAAGCATTCAGAGAAACTGCTTTGTGATGTATGCATTCAACTCACAGAGTTGAACCTATCTTTTGAATCAGCAGTTTTGAATCTCTCTTTTGGCAGAATCTTCATGTAGATATTTGGAACCCTTTGACGCCTACTGTGGAAAAACAAATATCTTCACATAAAAACTACACAGAAGCATTCTGAGAAATTTCTTCATGATGTGTGCATTCATCTCACAGGGTTGAACCTAGCTTATGATTGAGCAGTTTTCACACACTCTTTTTGTAGGATCTGCAAGTGGATATTTGGAGCGCTTTGAGGCCTACAGTGGAAAACCAAATATCTTCAAATAAGAACTACACAGAAGCATTCTGAGAAACTTCTTTGTGATGTGTGCATTCATCTCACAGAGTTGAAACTTTCTTGTGATTGAGCAGTTTTCAAACACTCTTTTTGTTGAATCTGCAAGTGGATATTTGGAGCCCTCTGTGGCCTATGGTGGAAAAGGAAATATCTTCAAATAAAAACTACACAGAAGCATTCTCAGAAACTTCTTTGTGATGTATGCGTTCAACTCACAGAGTTGAACCTATCTTTTGATTGAACAGTTTTGAATCTCTCTTTTTGCAGAATCTGCAAGTAGATATTTGGAGCGCTGTGAAGCCTACTGTGGAAAAGCAAATATGTTCACATAAAAACTACAGAGAAGCTTTCTGAGAAACTTCTTTGTGATGTGTGCATTCAACTCACAGAGTTGAACCTGTCTTTCAATTGAGCAGTTTTGAATCTCTCTTTTTGCAGAATCTGCAAGTGGATGTTGGGAGAGCTTTGAGGCCTATTGTGGAAAAGGAAATAGCTTCACATAAAAACTACACAGAAGCATTCTGAGAAACTTCTTTGTGATGTGTGCATTCATCTCACAGAGTTGAACCTTTCTTTTGATTGAGCAGTTTTGAAACACTCTTTTTGTAGAATCTGCAAGTGGATATTTGGAGCCCTTTGCACCCTATGGTTGAAAAGGAAATATCCTCAATAAAAACTACACAGAAGCATTCTAAGAAACTTATTTGTGATGTGTGCATTCAACTGACTGAGTTGAATTTATCTTCTCATGTTTTGTAGAATCTGGAAGTGGATGTTTGGAGCCCTTTCACCCTATTGTGGAAAAGGAAATATCTGCAATTAAAACTACACAGAACCATTCAGAGAAACTTCTTTGTGATGGATGCATTCAACTCACAGAGGTGAACCTATCTTTTGATTGGGCAGTTTAGAATCTCTCTTTCTGAAGAAACTGCAAGTGGATATTTGGAGCCCTTTGCACTCTGTGTTGGAAAAGGAAATATCTTTAAATAAAAACAACACAGAAGTATTCAGAGAAACTTCTTTGTGCTGTGTGCATTAAACTCAGAGAGTTGAAACTTCCTTTTGGTAGAGCAGTTTTGAAACACTCTTTTTGTAGAATCTGCAGGTGTATATTTGGAGCACTTTGAGGCCTACGGTAGAAAAGGATATATTTTCATATAGAAACTAGATAGAAGCATTCACAGAAACTATTTTGTGATGTGTGCATTCAACTCCAAGAGTTGAACATTCCTTTAGACAGAGCAGTTTTGCAACACTATTTTTGTAGAATCTGCAAGTGGATATTTGGACTGCTTTGAGGCCTATATTGGAAAAGGAAATATCTTCACACAAAAACTAGACAGAAGCATTCTCAGAAACTTCTTTGTGATTTGTGCATTCAACTCACCGAGTTCACCATTCCTCTTGACAGAACAGTTTTGAAAAACACTTTTTGTAGAATCTGCAATTGGATATTTGGAGTGCTTTGAGGCCTTTGGTGGAAACGGGAATACCTTCACATAAACACTAGACAGAAGCATTCTCAGAAACTTCTTTGTGATGTGTGCATTCAATTCACAGAGTTGAACCTTCTTTTTGATAGAGCAGTTTTGAGGCACTGTTTTTGTATAATCTGCAAGTGGACATTTGGAACGCACTGAGGCCTATGGTGGAAATGGAAATAATTTTACATAAAAACTAGCCAGAAGCATTCCCAAAAACTTCTTTGTGATGTGTGCATTCAACTCAGAGAGTTGAAACTTTCTTTTTATAGAGCAGGTTTGAAACACTCTTTTTGTAGAATCTGCAAGTGGACATTTGCAGCGCTTGGAGGCCAATGGTGGAAAAGGAAATAACTTCACATAAAAACTAGACAGAAGCATTCTCAGAAAATTCTTTGCAGTGGTTGCATTCAACACACAGAGTTGAACATACCTTGTCCTAGAGCAGTTTTGAAACACTCTTTTTGTAGAATCTGCAAGTGGATATTTGGACCGCTTTGAGGCTTTCGTTGGAAACGGGAATATCTTCACATAAACAGGAGACAGAAGGATTCTCAGACTCTCCTTGTAATGTGTGCATTCAACTCACAGAGTTTAACCTTTCTTTTGATAGAGCAGGTTTGAAACACTCTTTTTGTAGGATCTGCAATTCAACATTTTGAGAGCTTTGAAGCCTACGGTTCAAAAGGAAATATCATCACATAAAAAATAGACAGAAGCATTCTCAGAAACTACATTGTGATGTTTGCATTCAACACACAGAGTTGAACATAACTTTTAATGGAGCAGTTTTGAAACACTCTTTATGTAGAAGCTGCAAGTTGATATTTGGATAGCTTTCAGGACTTCATTGGAAAGGGAATATCTTCACATAAAAACTAGACAGAAGCATTCTCAGAAACTAGTTTGTGAGGTTTGCATTCAACTCACAGAGTTGAACATACTTTATCATAGAGCAGTTTTGAAACACTCTTGTGGTAGAAGCTGAAAGTGGATATTTGGACCGCTTTGAGGTCTTCGTTGGAAACGGGACTATCTTCACATAATCACTAGAGAGATGCTTTCTCAAAAACTTCTTTGTGCTGAGTGCATTCAACTCACAGAGTTAACCTTATGTCATAGAGCAGGTATGAAACACTCTTTTTGTAGAATCTGCAACTCGACAATTGGAACGCTTTGAGGCCTGTGGTGGAATAGGAAATATCTTCACATAAAAACTAGAAAGAACCATTCTCAGAAACATCTTTGTGATGTTTGCATTCAACTCACAGAGTTGAAAATCCCTTTTCATAGAGCAGTCTTGAAACACTCATTTTGTAGACTCTACAAGTGGATATTTGGACCCCTTTGAGGCCTTCATTTTAAAAGCGAATATCTTCATATAAAAAGTAGACAGAAGCATTCTCAGAAACTTCTTTGTGATGTGTGCATTCAACTTACCGAGTTGAACATACTTTATCATAGAGCAGTTTCGAAGCACTCTTTTAGTAGAATCTGCAAGTGGATATTTGGACCGCTTTGAGGACTTCATTGGAAACGGGAATATCTTCACGTAAAAACTAGACAGAAGTATTCTCAGAAACTACTTTGTGATGTGTGCATTCAACTCACAGAGTTGAACCTTCCTTTTCATAGAGCAGGGTTAAAACATTCTTTTTGCAGGACCTGCAAGTGGACATTTGGAGCTCTTTGAGGCCTATGGTGGAAAAGGATATATCTTCACGTAAAAACTAGACAGAAGTATTCTCATAAACTTATTTGTGATGTGTGCATTCAACTCACAGAGTTGAACCTTTCTTTTGATAGAGCAGGTTTGAAACATTCATTTTGTAGAATCTGAAGTGGACATTTGGAGAGCTTTGAGGCCTATCGTGGAAAAGGAAGTATCTTCACATAAAAACTAGAGAGAAGCGTTCTCAGAAACTTCTTTGTGATGTGTGCATTCAACTCACAGAGTTGAACCTCTCTTTTCATTGAGCAGGTTTG